>NC_000010.11:57264307-57415822 GCF_000001405.40 Homo sapiens | reverse complement strand
ATAGTTACACTTTGCTTGATGAAAGTAGATAAAAGTAATACAGGGGCAGGATTGTTAAGACCTCAGATCCCACTGGATTACATTGTTAGTTGAAGAGGCCCATGAAGGAGGACATGTGCCTCACTAATTTATCTTTATAACCATATCACCTGGTCAAGTGCCTGTCATATAGTTGAGGCTAATCACTTTTATTTAGTTAATTAATTAGTCCTAGTTTACATTTAATACTAGATTTGGATTCAAGTACTATTTAAGAAGAATGTTCTATTTGCTGTGCAGATACACAGTATATTCATTTTATATTCATTTTCTTATTAAAATTATTATAATAACTCTTTGTGCCACATTTGATTAAATATGTTTTTAAGCAAGAGTCCTGAATTTCAGAAAGATTTGGGTGTTTGTTCAAATTCATGACTGAAATGCTGGTTTATTGACCAAAGTTTGACTGTTAGGATATATGTTCCCTGTTTCCCACTGTATCTCAGGCATTTGACAGTATTTGTATAAAATCCTGGATAAAGAATAAACAGATGGATTTATGCATTTAACAAACACTATGAATGCCCACTTTTTTATTTTAAATTCCAATTATTAATTGCTGGATGATATATACAAAAACAATAGATTTTTGTGTATTAATGTTGTACATTACAATCTTAATAGTCTCACTTTTTAATTCCAGTTTTTCTTTTCTTCTTCTTCCCATTTCCCTCCTCATCTTCTTTCTCTTCATTTTCTTCTTCATGATGATGAATCTTTGGAATTTTCTACAAAGAAAACATGTCATCTGTGAGTAACAAAAGCTTTATTTTTTCCTTTCCTATATGTGTCTTTTAATTCTTTTTCTTGTGTTATTGCACTAGCTAGGACATCCAGGATGATGCAGAATGTGAGATCTGAAAGAGGATACTCTTGCCTTCTTCCTGATCTTAGAAGGAAAGCATCCAGTTTCTCACAATGAAGTGTGATTTTCACTGAAGGTTCTTGCAGATGTTCTTGATCAAGTTGAGAAAGCTATACTCTGTTTCAAGTCTTCTAAGAGATTTTATCATTATGGGTGTTAAATTTTGAAATGCTTTTGGTGCTTTTCTATGCATTAGATTTGATTTACCAATGCTTTGTTGAAGATTTTTATATCTATGTCTGTCAGATGTATTTTTCTGTAGCTATCCTTTCTTGAGATGCTTTTGTCTGGTTTTTATATAGGGTAATGATGACCACATGGAATGAGTAAGAGTGTTTGTTTCTGTTTTGTGGAAGAGATTGTGGAGAATTGGTATCATTTCCTCCTTAATTATTTGTTAAAATTCACCAGTGAAACCATCTGAAAATGGTGCTTTTTTATTTTTTATTTTTCAGAATTTAGGTTTTTGATTTTTGGTTTACCTTCTTTTCTAATATGTGCATTTAATGATATAAATTTCTTCCCAGGATGCATCCTACCTTACAAAGTTGTATTTTTTTCATTGAATTAAAATATTAAAACAAATTCTCTCAAGACTTTGCAATTGAGCCCTGTGTTATTTATAAGTATTCTGTGTAATTGTCACCTATTTGGGGGATTGTGCATTTATTTTTCTGTTATTAACTTCTATTTTAATCCCATTGTAATCTGAGAACATGCCTTGCATGATTTCTATTCTTTTAAGCTTATTAAGATGTACTTTATGACTCGAGAGGTGGTCTTTTTTGATGAATTTGAAATTTATGTGAACTTGAAAAGAATATGTATTCTGCTATAGTGGGGTAGAATATTCTTTGAATTCAATTAGATCAAGTTGATTAATAGTTCTGCTTTTGTCAACAATGTCCTTACTATCGCTGTAGGTGCCAGAGGCTTCAAATTCCTCCAGTGTCCTCTTTTTGGTCTCCTCTGTTGACTTTAGATTTCCCTATGTACTCCTCCTTCGAGAGAGCACGTGTCTTAAAGCTATTTCCATTGTACTCCACTGTTTTTATTCTGGAATCCTGTTAGTGCAGTTGTAAGGTTTGGGGAGAGAAAGCATCCTATAATCTTATGATTAAGTGACAGTCCTTTTGTCAGAGGTGTTTGTACCAGAGCAACTCCATCTTGAATAAAGGCTGGGTAAAATAAGTTTGGAACCTACTGGGCTGCATTCCCAGATGGTTAAGCGTTCTAAGTCAGAGGCTAAGACAGGAGGTTGGCACAAGGTACAGGTCATAAAGACCTTGCTGATAAAACAGTTTGCAGTAAAGAAGCCGGCTAAAACCCACCTAAACCAAGACGGTGATGAAAGTGACCTCTGGTTATCCTTACTGCTACACTCCCACCAGCACCATCACAGTTTACATATGCCATGGCAACACCAGGAAGTTACCCTATAAGGTCCAAAAAGGGGAGGCACAAATAATCTACCCCTTGTTTAGCATATAATCAAGAAATAACCGTAAAAATGGGCAACCAGCAACCCTTGGGACTACTCTGCCTATGGAGTAGCCGCAGTAATTCTTGATAAACTTGCTTTTGCTTTGCACTGTAGACTCATTCTGAATTGTTTCTTGCACAAGATCCAAGAACCTTCTCTTGAGGTTTGGATCTGAACTCCTTTCTGGTAACATCTTTCATAGACCTATGCCTCTGGGTATGACTTTTGCAAGTGTTTCTCTAGTGGTTTAACTTTTTCTTTTTTTCTTCTTAGATAACATAGGAAGGCTAGATGATGCTGCAGTGGTAGGAATGTCATTCTCCATTTGGAATAAAGCTTGGTAAAGTCTTTCCTCATGGAATATAGGCCTTTTTTATGGAGACTGCTCTAAGCATATTTCACAAAAAGTATTTTTTTTTCCTACTCTAGCCAGACCTATAAGGGGATCTTTCCTGGAACAACATCATGACAACCTGATGGGTTTCCTGGAGGTAAAGCTCACTAAAGTGGATGGAACTTATTAGAACTGTTGCCCCTAAGAGTTTCTCACTCTCCAATAGTCTACATTCAGCCTTCAGCAATCGCTCAAAATTACTACTTAAGTGCACCTACTAATTTATGCCTCCAGTGGCTCTCTTCTAGATAAGAAGTCTTCGCTGAGATTCTCTGGATTCATTTATCTCTCCAAGTTTCAGTATGACAGTTTGCTGTACAACTTTAATTCTCTAAGGAGTCTGTGAAAAGTTCTTAATTTTCAGTTTGTTCGCATTACTTTTCTCAAAGTATGAGAATTATGGCTTCAAAGCTGTTTACATGTTGGAGCTGAAACCGGAAGGCAAACTAACAGATTTTTGTCACCACTAGATTTGCTTAGTACTGATAAGGACATTCTTCAGTTTGAAGAAAAATAATAACAGGCAGAAACCTGAAACTTTAGGAACAAAAGAAGAGCAAGACAAATGGGATAAAAGTATAAAGTTTTCATCAGATTTTAAAGAAGCCACAAACTAAAAACTTTACAAGTCTCTGCTTTATCATCTGACTTTGTGATTTACCTCCCAAAATTTGCCCATATTGTTAAATGAAATAAGCAGAGGGCCACTGGCCTGAGAATGTTTCTACACTTTGTGTTTTTACAAAACAAGCTACAACTTAACTCAGTAGGTAAATGAACTAAAACTCAAGTGTATATATATTTTGTAACATATAGCTGTATTTCAGTCAATCATAAACAGCTGGGCTTCAGCCAATCACAGGCAGCCAGTTGATCACACCATGTCAAATAAGGCAAATGCCTACCTGTAGCCAATCAAATTATTTCTCTACTTTGCTTCCATGTTTGGCCTATAAGCTTGCTACTCACTTGCTACTAAACTTGCTGGGGAGAGTTCACTCAATCTCTTCCGGTCCTGAGTGCTGCCCAATTCATGAATTACTCTTTGTTCAAATAAACTCTGTTAAATGCAGTTTGTCTAAAGTTTTCAACAGTTTCTCTAAGAGAGCACCCTAGATTGTCTCCAATGTAAAAAGGCACCATTAAAAAAAAAACTCTCTTTAAAAGCAGGACAGAACAACATGTGGATTTGATTCTGGCATTGATAACATATATATTTTGCTTGTTCTTTCATTATTTATAAAGATTATGATTAAGTGAGTTGAATAGAGAGAAAATTATAAAGAAAAAAATTACTTAGAATCATACCTCTCAGAAAAACTACTGACATAATTTTACTATGTGTTCTTTCAGTTATTTTTTGTTTGTTATGCAAATACAAAAATAGCCCAATATGTTATAATGTTTTGCATAATTGAACTTTGTAAGTGCTTTCTATTTCCTTTCTTTCAACCTGAAATCAACATTTTCCTATGCCATTAAATGTCCTGGGATACATACCTAAAACAGAAAGAAAGACAGAAGACAAATACAGAACGTTTTCTGTGTGGCAGGCAATGTTAGTGTATGTAACATTACTTTTCATAAAGAGGTGAATTTTTTTCCTCATGGAGCATTTAGCAATATTTGAAGATAAACCAGGGAGATTAAGGTAGGTAGAGGGATTCTGACAAACATCCTGCAATGCATAACATGGCCATCCACAACAAATAATTATCTGTTTCAGAATGTCAGTAGTGCCACAGTTGAGAATTCCTGGTTTGGAGATAAAGCAGTGTATACATAGAAAAAACAAACAAATGAAAAAACAAAACAAATCCCTCTCTTTATGATTCTCATCTAATATTGGCTGAGACAGAAATAAGTTATGGATAAATCAATATGTAATACAAAATCAAAAGTTGGTACACAATAAAACATTTTAGAGTGAGCCTAGTGGAGGAAGGGGACAATATTGTAGATCGCATGACATTAGAACAAGAGACCTGAATCAAGGGAGAGAGGAGGCTACATGGAAATCTGGGAATAAGACACTCCAAGGAGGGGCACCTTTGAGTCAGGAACAAATGTGGCATATTCATCAAATAATCCTGTTTGACTTTAGCAGAATTAACAGGGACATGGTAGGATATAAGGTTAAGAGGTGGGCAAAGACCAAAATGTGTGTGTTCTCATCATACTTATAATAAAACCCAAATTTTTATCAGGTTATAGACCCCAATAAGAGAACACATGCTAGAATGTTAAAAAGCAGAATGTTTTGATCATTTAATTGTTTAAAAGATTGTTTTGGCTCTCATGTGGAGTCAAAAATGATTTTTGTCCCTGGAGAGGAGCAAAAGTGAAAATCATGTTACCAATTAAAAACTTTTCAAATTAATCTATGCTTCAAGTGATGGTGACTGGGACAAAGTTGGTAGCAAAAAGAAAGCAGTCAAAATGATCAGATCTGGGTTGTGCATTTTGAATACGAAGCCAGCATGACTTGCTGATGATTAATGTGTGTGATGGACGAACTGAAAGTAGCTTCTAGGTTTAGAACTTGAGGAACCAGAGAAACTTTTAGTAGAATAGGGAAAACTGGAACTGACAATTAAAAAAAAATACAATGGAATCTGCGATGGATATTTTTATATGTGGTGTATATGTTTGAGATGTCTATTAGACATACAGATGAAGATTTCTAATACAGTTGAGTATATGAAATTCAGGGGAAAAGATAAGGCTGGAGATATTAATTTAGTAACCATAAGTGTTGTGATACCCAGCAGGGAAAGTCTTAGAAGAATATAGAAACATAAATTGAGCTCTTCCCTTACAATAATAATAATAATAAAATAAGTCCATGAAGGTAGTAGAAAGCATTTAGTTTACAAGATTCTGCAGTGCAAAACAAAATGGGAAGGTACAAACTGCAAAGTATATCTCAATGCTGGGTAAGGAATTTTTAGCAGGAATATTTTTCCTTCTAGTGAATATGTGTTATCTAACTTCTTCCACAAGGAACACTTTCCAGAGAACATCATTGCCACTCAATTATATTAAAATAGAAGAAAGGGCAAACAGGGAATTGAAATGCATGCACTTTAGAGAAGACGCATAAAGTGGAACAATTTTTGACTTTAAAAGAGCAGTTCTCATCTGTGGCACGGTTTATTCAATAATTTCCATTTTTACCACCTGCAAGACTAAGGTCACCTTATTGTAAAAAATTAGGAAATAAACGATGACACAGTATTAAGAGACTGAGTATATCTGTTGAAACCAGAAGAGGAAGCATTGGGAAATGTATGAAGGACCTTTAAAATTCATTTTCTGTCTATGCTGTTCTTTTTTTTAAAAAAATGAGATTTATCCTTTACAAGGGTACTTTGGCTTGCCCTACTTATCTGAGTGATATGTAAAGTAATTCAGAGTTCTGGGAGCTTCAAAAGTTGCCATGATTTTTGAGTTACTTCTTTGATTTTTCTGCCATGTTTGCAGTAATGTGATGCTCTAGACCAATGACTTTTCTTGCCTGTATAATTGTGCTATAGCCCATAGCAGGTCTAGGCCAACTTACCTGAGTTTACGAGAAAATCACAGACAATGAGATATCCAGGATTTGGGTTCTCTAATGAATAAAGAATCAATGTAAATGATCTGAAGAGTTGGGATATTATTTTGTTTCTGTCTAAATAACGTATAATGAGGAAAACCAATTCTCATGGTGTATTAGTCCATTTTCATACTGCTATGAAGACACACCTTAGACAGGGTAGTTTAATAAGAAAAAGAGGTTTAATGGACTCACAGTTCAACATGGCTGGAGAGACCTCACAATCATGGCGGAAGGTGAAGCAAGAGCAAAGGTACATTTTACATGGCAGCAGGCAAGAGAGAGGTGCTGAGCAAAACGGGTAAAAGCCCTTTACAAAACCATCAGATCCCATGAGAACTCACTATCATGAGAATAGCATGAGGGTAACTGCCTGCATGATTCAATTACATCCCACTGGGTCCCTCCCATCACATATGAGGATTACAGAAACTATAATTCAAGATGAGATTTGGTGGGGACACAGCCAAACCATATCACATGGGTAGACATCCTTGTGGTATCCAGCCCTGCAGTCTCAACTTGCACAACAGCTCTGGGTGTTCACCAGCCCTTCACCATTTTGCCTATCTTTCCACAAAACCCACCTAGGTCTACATCCCAGGCAAAGAGGGAAAGGAGGAAACTATAGCACTTTAACTTAGTTTCCTCTCTACAGACTAAATTGATACCTGTAAGAATAGTTTTTGAGAATAATTATAATAGATTCATAGGATTCTTAGGGTTGCAGTTCAGGGCCTTGCTCTTCACAGATCCAGAATCCATTTTATTTCTCAGCTTCTACTTTGTGAATTTTGTCATTAGAAGGGTCCTCTTTCCTTGTAGGTAGCTGCTGGTAAGATTTTAGCTAATTTTACCATTATTTATTAAATTTAAATATATTAGATAAGCTAGATTACATAATTTTATATCACTCTACGATGTTTATTCTTATGTTCACCTCCAGTTGTTTATCTATGAAAATAACAGTTCCTATACAACAAATTTTAGAAAATAAAATTCCCTAAAACTATGCCAAATACTAGGAAGAAAGGTAATATAAGGGAAAGCATGGTGGCTTTTGAATCGATAAGATTTGACTCTCAGATTTTTCCAGGTAATGACTGTGTGACTTTGACAGATAACCTCTATGAGGATGAAATTTATCACTGGGGTAGTAAAACATCTAAATGAATTACAATATATAAGGCATCCAGTGTACTGACTGACACATTATAAATTTTAAGAGGTATCCTCACTATATAAATACATCACATTTAGCTTTGCCATCATCCTAACATCATTTTACAATGTGAGTAACAAGATAGGATATTTCACTTAATATAAAGGTTTTAAAATAATTTAAAACTTACATCAAGCTAGAAATTGACATTCATTTTAATGGCAATCAGTTTTTTATTTTGTGTAAGATGTTTTTTCTGCACTGCCTCACACCAACACAACCTCATCTGTAATTACAGCTGTAGCTGCAAAGGACTGCTCTGTATGGGCTTTGACTAATATTTTACCTATTAAACTTGATATATAGTTATTGATCAGTAGCATGTTTTGTCTTCAATCCCCATACTTTAGGAAAATCAAAACAAATTCTGTTTTACATGAAAAGGACAACAGCGAACATTTACCGTCATGCCCTAGGCTGCCTTAATTATCACAATTTGGGTCGTAATATAATCTATTGAATCTTTATCTCTTGACTTCCTAAAGAATATTATGATAGTCCATTATATGATAAGATCAAGTTACTTGGCTGTAGTGATCAGGCAATTCTATGTAAGATAGATGCATGGCAGGATATGGGAGAAAAATATCACAATGTTAAAAATCCTGCCTCATCAAAAAAGTGTTCATGGCTGCAATGTTCTGAAGCATATCAGAGCATTCTGTCAAAAGTAGAGAACAAGTTATTGCACCTTGAGCCTCTACATAAGAGGCATAACATTTAGTAGGTTTCTTTGGATTTTAAAGACAATATATACTACATCTGGGTATATGCCAAAATGTATTAATGATGCAGGAAGATTCCAGTTTCATGTGGGACCTAGATGACAATGGGCTCTGTATGGGGAGAGACTACAGCATAAGCTGTTCTGGACTTAAAATATATTATTCAGAATATCTAAAAGTGCTGTATCTTGTTGCAGATATCCACGACTGTTACAGATGCTTCGTGGAGGTTCAAAAAGACTACAGATCAAGGCCAGGTAATATGTAGCAGAAAACTACTTATCATATGGAAAATAGTGCTCTTAGTATGCTATTAGGCACTAGTATCATTCTGAAGTCAAAGATAACTGCCTATAAAATGTTGGGAAACATCAGATACTCTAAGGATTAGGTTAATGCAACTATAATAACAATTTTTTATATAATAGAAAGTTTCCATTTTGTATAACATTGAGCAGTAAAATGTTTATAAAGATGTTACATGAAGATGTAGTCTAGACTCATAAAACTTGCCTCTTTTGCACAGATTTCTCTCTCTTATCTACATCTGTGTTCTCATGTAGAATTCTTTACAGCTACCTACCAAAAGTGGAATATATCTTGGACCTAGATAATGGATGGGTTTCCCTGGTATATTGATGTGAGCTAAATATAGAATGTTACCACACCACATCCACTCTCACGAGTCACTCGTGATAGCATGCCATGGGTAAGGATCTGTCCAATGATTATTGCTGTGAGCCATTCACATTGTTTTTCACAATTATAGAGGGTAAAGTCGTCTAAGGTAAGGACATACATGGACTCAGACAGTGGAGAATGGCTTGACTTTTTGGTCATGAGTGTAAAACAAGCAAGATTGAAAAATCAACAAAGACGTCTAAGAGGAGGTATTATCAATACACCTTTGAGAGTGAGTACAAAGCATGCAGATTTTGTGTCTCCTGCAAATTCCCACCGCAGACCATTCTCTACAGAAAAGTCATTTACCAAACAGGTGAATGTAATGCTTTACCTGGTGGTGGTTAGCCAGCCTGTCTTCTTGACTACTCTGTGTAAAAGTCCCATGAATGCAGGGGGCATGGTGGCAGGCAGGGTTATATAATACATGACTCCGATACTATAGAGGACCTTCTCATTAAGAATGATCTAGATCATGCCACAACTCATTACCCTATCTGCCAGGAGCAACTACCAATGAAGAGTCTTCAATATAGTGCTGTAATCCAAAGAGAACAGCGAGCCAAGTGTTGAGAAGTTAGTTACATCAGACTCATTTCACCCTGGACACAACAGGCATTTATCTTTTGGGGATAACTTCTCTACCACCACTTGTACCACTTTCTGAGGGCTTGTGGATTTTCTGACTTGCCGACAAGAGATACAGTATAACATCTAAGAAAAAGGAATGATTTCATGATAAAAGAGTTATGACAATGAGTAATCATAGGCTCTACTTATGTTTTCATGTAATCTGTATTAGGGAAAAATACTAGCGTGGTAGAACAATGCAATGATCTGTTAAAAGCTTTGCTGAACTATTATTTTGGTGACAGCACCCACTATATAATACACTCTATGTACCAAACCAGCAGCCAGCACATAGGTCTCTTTCTTTAGTATATAGAATAACAGATAAAGAAACCAAAGACTAAAGTAAAGTTTAGTTCTTTTTAACATTCCTTCCAGAAACCTGTTTGGAGAATTTGCTCTTCCCATATTGCATATTTAGGCTCTGCTGTTATTAGATGCTCTGTTTCCCAGCAGGGGAGAGATTCTTTTAACAGAAGATAGTATGAGTATTTTATTAAACCTGGAACTATGACCCAGTCATTCTGAAATCCTCGTGCTAGCGGGCCTGTGTTTTATAAAGTAATCCAACTAAGGCACACTTTTAATTTAATATAATGTCAAAATATATGGCCTCTGGAAAATGATCATGTTTAAAGAAACCTTACAGGTGTCAAATCATATTAGAATTTGTTACAACTAGAGTAAATATTCACATAATAAATTTCTTTGAATTTATTGTATTTTGCAAAAGGAGTGACACATTTTAAGTAATCAAATTGAAATACAGAGTTTATTTTATTACTGATAAAAGATACCACTAGATAAAAATGGAAGACTTAGTCTCACAAATACTAGTCAATTAAGATAACTTATTTTACTAAGATGGTGTTAGGTTATTAATATCTATAGTTATATGATATAAGTGACACATTTTGCCAGTAAAATTTGTTACTATTCTAACAAGGTATAACAAAATTAGTGATTTTGCAACTTTTTGACCAGAATAATATATATTATGTATATATGTAGTATATAATATATAATATACAGTATAATATTATATATAGAATTACATATATGATATATAGAATTATATATAATATAGCACTAGCAGCAGAAATCAAGAATAGATTGTGAGATGAAATTCAGCTATCTATGTCAATGACTTCCTTTCTAGTCCTGAATCTAAAATTGCAGAGCAGAATACTTTCCCCCTGTGAGGAAGAATTCTCAGAAGAGATAGGAAAACCATTCAAGTGAAATGATGCCTTCATCTTCAAAGATAAATGTAGCTTGTTTATGAAAAAATTAAGTAACTTTCCCTGTTAATTGTATAACTCTTTGAAGCCAGTCTTCCTAAGTTTAAATATAGAAGAGAATGTCCTATACTACAGTACTTAAGTTTTTCATGGAAATAATAGCCATTTCATGGAAAGAATATGTAATAACCAATATGGAGTGAATGTTACCAACTTTTTTCTCCTAAAACTTATGATACTTAAATTTGAGTATCCATACTTAAATTCCCCTTGAAGTGAGATGATACAGTGTACTGTCTGTGGCATATAATATAAAGAAGTCATTTTCCTTTACCTCTCACACTGACTTGTATAGAAGAAAGCAAATACTCTTTGCACACAATAAATCTGTGACACCCATGCAAAGCAGATTTTCTTTACTTGCCCTTCTGACAGTTCATTTGCAAGCCAACAAATGGGTTCAAGTCTGGTGACAGATAAAAGAATATCCTTTTCTTGTCCATTGCTTCACTCCTTTTGAAGATTTTATATTTAATTATACATTTATTGAGTCTTTTATTTTATTTGAGAGGCAATGAATAGATGCCATAAATTCTAATCAAATTAAAATTAGCTACAATGTAATTAAACCAATTTGAAAATAGTTGCCTCTAAAAGGCATCTTTGTGTAATGGGAGCGGTAATAGTCTATTCTCTGAATATGAACATCCCAAAAGAGATGGATTATAAGTATTTTTACACAGCATTCTTTTATTTATAGGACCCTCATTAATCACCTAGCAAACAAAGTCCTGACAATTTAATAAAAATGTTTAACAGATATTTAAATATAAATTATTAAATCATTTATATGTTTCTTTTTGTGTGCATTATGCTAATTTCACAAGGTAGCTGAATGTCTACAAAAATTGTCTTTGTAATTTCAAATTCTGGCAGCTACATTTATTATGAGCCTTTCAGCAGTGACCCATTTATTATGTACATGGATCGGGCTACTTTGCTGGTATCTCTTTTAACTAATTTCAGGAAAAAACAGTGCTTCAAAACCCTTGTTTAACCATATCCTCCCCTAAGAAAGTGTATGTAGATTTTTGTTTACTTCCTGAAAATATCTTTGATCCACCACCCACAAGTATATACAAACATATGAAAATTTCTCCCATAACTCTTTTTTGTTGCATTTAATTTTCTATCCTGAAATTATTTTTTGCACATTTGTCTTTCTAAATAAAACTTGAGCTCACTAAATACATTTGCTGTTCCTTAATTTTTGTTTAGTTATGTTTGTATAACCTGGTAGCTACTATTTATTAGATATTCAATAAATGTATGTATATTGAATAAATTATTCCAAGAATAAATGTGAAGGAACTGGATTATTTTATTTTATTTTCTCAAACATAAGTTCATAGAAAGTAGCTTACCCAATTTAGTGGCAAAAAAAATAACAATGACAAAAACAACCCAAACGGTGAAAGAAAAGAAGACAAAAGTTTACCAGTTCTGATTTAATGTTTTTTAAAGTTGCTTTTCTCTTTCATCTAAGAGCATTAACCGAAATACATGCTCAAAGTTACTTGGGTAGGTCCCCAATGTCTTACTTTGGTTAATTTATTTATCTTATTTTTGAGTACATTATCTTAGTCCATTTGTATTTCTATGAAGGGATACTTGAGGCTGGGTAATTTATAAGGAATAAAAGGTTTATTTGGTTTGTGATTTTGTTGTCTGGAAAGTTCAAAATCTGGTATGTGGCAAAGGGAAGCCAGCTTGGGCAGAGAGGAAACAAGAGAGAAAGGGGAGCAGATACCAGGTTCTTCTTAACAAGAAGCTCTCATGGAAACTACAGAGGCAGACCTCACTCACTCAACATCCCCCACTCAATAGGGAGGACATTAATCTATTCATGAGAGGTTCACCCACATGGCCCAAACACTTCCCATTAAGCCCCACTTCCAACATTGGGGATTACATTTCAGCATGAGATTTGAAGGAAAGACTCAAACAAACTCCCATATACGTAGTATACTATGAATGATTCACATAGTTTCAAAAGATAGGAGTGTGCCCCAGTGTGTATTCTGAGAGGTGCCACATATTTGTCCCCTATTCTTTCTCTACTGCTTCCACCCTGTTCCACCTAATTCCAGCCCCTCACCCCTCTAGGTAATTGATTCAGTTATTTATTTATTCTCCTTGTGTGTGTATGTCTGTATATATGTATTTTTTCTTTTTGTTTACACAAAAGAGCTCTCTCTCTCTCTTTCTCTCTCTCTCTCTCTCTCTCTCTCTCTCTCTCTATATATATATATATATATATTCCTTTGAATATTTCTTTTTTTTAATAACATAAGCTGGAAATCACTCCATTCAGCTCATGAAAATATTATTCCTTATTTTACAGCTGGACAATACTCCAATATGCAGATGGAGCGCATCTTTTTCAACTATTCTTTTACATTTGGGCATTTAATTTGTTTACAACATTTTGGAATTATAAATCTTCCTGCTATAAATAATTTTGTGCAGATATCTTTTTATATTATTGGAGTTGAATCTTCATGGAAAATTTCTAGATGTGGGCCAGAAGCTAAGCTTATTAGTGTATTAATTAGATATTATAAAATGCTCCTTTATATGGGTGTTCTAATTTATATTACTACTAGAATTATATGAAAGTACCTGTTTCCCCAGCCTCATTAACAATTATAATAATTTTTATTATTTAACCAATTTTAGAGATAAGTAATAATATCTCATGTGTGATAGAAATTTTCATTTCTCTAGGTATGAGGTGGAACATCTTTTGTTATGTTTAAGGGCTATTTTATATATTTTTCATGAATTGACTGTTGACCCTTCTAACCTATTTTTCTGTCATGAGCTCATTAATTTTTAAAGAATAAAATAATGGCTTCCCATGCATTTTTTAAAAATCTTATTGTTACTTATATTTAATTTGCAAAGGTATCTAATCTAGTAATCTGAATAAGGTTGCATTTGTAGATTCTGCAGAAGCTGTGAGAATTACTCAGTGTCATTTGCACTGCTGAGTACAGCCAAAGACCTTATTATTAGTCCATCTATATTCAAATTTGGAGCTCTTCTAAATATGAAATATATATATATTGCAAATAAACACTCTTTGGAGAGACTAAACCATTAATACATTATCTCTTTTAGATGGGCAATAAGACATCCATATTCCAATAATTCTGAATATGAATTAATAGGTATAAATATATTTATGTGAAATTTGAGTAATTGTGTGCATGTTAGAGAGTTCTCGCTACATAACATAAATGAAATTCCATATGTGATTAGGAAGTTCAATTAATCTTTTGAACTATACTACTTATGCTGTCATTCATAGCTTAACATTTTTAATAGTACAGTAATCTCTGATTTTTTTCATTGCATGTTCACACAACTAATAGTATAATACTTTATAATATAAGAATATTAGTTCACAGAACTAATATCTTCCAAACTGCTTGCCTTTCCTTGCTTTTTTACTTTCCCTAGTCTCTTGTAAGGCTTTCCTATTTTCCACCCCATCTTCCTCAAACCCCTTTCATCCTCTGGCCCTGTTTCAGTTTAGCATCTTAGCTTGATATACAAATTGGTGACATTTCTGATTTAGATATGTAGATTTATTCTCGTAATCTAAGAAAATACTATATTTTCCCATATGACATTCTAAGGTAGTTTTATATTTACCACTTTGTAAATACAAAATCAAAAATGTATGGTTTGGATCTGGAAGTGTCTGATTCTTCACAACATTAGTAAAAATGTGTAGCTACATTTTCTCTAAAATTGAAGTATTTGTAATACCAGAACTATTCATAAAGACAAATGTGAGAACTGCCCCAAAACTTGAGCAAATAATACTTCCAGAGGATAAATAAAATGTATTTCTCATAATTAGAGCACAGTTAGGCCTGTTCCATCTATAGCTATATCACGAGGAAAGCTATTTTTACTTTTGGAGAGAAAGCCATTTGTTTTTCTGGCTACTGACTCTTATGGGTAGTTGAGTTTCAAGGAAAGATCACTAGATTTAAAATTGTTAGATCTGGATAGACTCATGCTGCTGCTGGCAAGATACTATGTTATTAGCAGTTTGACACAGTCCTTAACTTAGACTAACTTTAGGTATTTTAATATGATTATATGCACATTGAATTTGATTAATTTAATTCCATTACTTAATCATGATTATAGCTATTAGACAGTGTGATTTAAAATATAAGTTTCTGAGCTGAGTGCAGTGGTGCATGCCTGCAGTTGCAACTACTTGGGAGGCTAAGGATGGAGGATCGTTTGAGCCCAGGGGTTGGAATTTAGCCTAGGCAACACAGGGAGACCCTGTCTTTAAAAAATAAAATAAAATATTAACTTTTGTGGGAAACCAAACTTACTTATTTTCTTTGTTAGCTACAAATATTATTGCATACTTCCTAGAGTTTTGGATTGATTTAGATATTGTTTTTAGCATGCTGGTCACATGGGCATATAAATGGCAGGGATTATTATTGTAATCCTAAATATCAAGGTCATCATTGTAGTTTATAAGTTTTCAGGCACCGCTCTATTAAGAATTTGGTCTCTAAAGAAAAACGAGATTTGGGCTGGGCGCAGTGGCTCATACCTGTAATACCAGCACATTGGGAGTCTGAGGCGGGCGAATCACGAGGTCAGGAGATCGATACCATCTTGGCCAACGTGGTGAAACCCCGTCTCTACTAAAATACAAAAACTTAGCTGCGCTTGGTGGTGCGCACCTCTAGTCCCAGCTACTCGGGAGGCTGAGGCAGGGGAATTGCTTGAACCCGCAGGCGGAGGTTGCAGTGAGCCGAGACCGCACCACTGCACTCCAGCCTGGCAACAGAGCAAGACTCTGTCTAAAAACAAAAAAAAGCAAGATTTACATGTGTAATATATATTTTATATTTTGTATAATAGATACATATAACATACCAAATTATATATGTATCTCATATATACATACGTATTTTGCCATACCTGTTTTTACTCTATAATGAATGATTTTCAGATTTTTTTGGTGGAATAGAAGAATAGCTATAAATAATGGCTATAAATAAAAGTATGGCTATAAATAAATAAACATAATAATTAATTTGGTCATCATTTATAGCTCACAGATAATTTTCAGGTTTTCACCCAAAAGGTATCACCTGTTTTTCAAATTTTAATTATCAGAAATCCTCATATAGAGGATTATGAGAAAGCAGAGCTCTTCCAGGTGTGTTCCTGTGCTGGACAAGTAAGTGAAAATAAACTTCTCCACTGGCTGGCAGGAAGCCTGGGCTTTAATGGGTGAGGCAGGCAACTTTCTCTATGAATAGTTCTCTAGGGGAAGGTGTTCAGAGAGGTTTATTTGGCCTGCTAAGCAAGTCTCTGAGGCACTGTCTTTCTGGCCCTGTTCAACTTTTTAAAAGAGTTCACTTCCATCTGATCCAAGTGAGGTGGACTCTATCTAAAAGAAACATCCTGGGGGAAAGTCAGTAATGATTGAACTGTCTTCAAAACTGCTTGCCTTTCCTTGCTTTTTACTTTCCCTAGTCTCTTGTAAGGCTTTCCTGTTTTCCACCCCCTCTCCCTCCAACCCCTTTCATCCTCTGTCCCTGTTTCTGTTTAGCATCTTAGTTTGATACGCAAATTGGTGACATTTCTGATTTAGATATTGTCTTTCCTCTATGATGTGGCGTTGTTAAGACTTAATTATTCCTAAGAAACTCCTCCATCAAGCAAATGTTCAAGGTGGTTATGGCAGCAAATGAAGGCAGCCACAAACACAAACAGGCATGTTTAGCCCTGTGGTGGGCTTTGGAGACTACAAAAAGTGTGGAGGAGATAAGCTCCCCCATCAGACCTGTTTGTAATGTGTCACCCATTAAGACCTCCCTTTTCATCTTCCAAGTATACAAAGGAAATATACATTTCTAAAGAAAATATATGTTTAAAAAGTTAAATATAAAAATTAGAAATCTATGTTAATAGTATTTGTGTGTTTGTGCACGTGTGTGTGTGTGTGTGTGTGTGTGTGTTTCCTAGAGACAGGGTCTTGCTCTGTCACCCAGGCTGCAATGCAGAAGCACAATCATGGCTCACTGTAGCCTCAAACTTCTGGGCTCAAACAATCCTTCCACCTCAGCCTTCCAAGTAGCTAAGTCCACAGGCCCACACCACCACTCATAGACAATTTATTTTATTTAATATTTCTGTAGAGACAGGATCTTGCTATGTTGCCCAGGATGGTCTCAAACTCCTGGTTTCAGGCTGTCCTTGCTTTGGCCTCCCAAAATGCTGGGATTACAGGTGTGCCCTACCATGCCCAGCTAATATTATAGCTTGTTTTAGGGGGTAAATGTTTACTGTCACAATACCAATATGAGCAAAAATAAAAATTAATTCACAAATTTTAAAGTGGCTCTCCTACAGATGAAACTGTTTCACATGCTTTTCTCATATGACCCCCATATGCTGTCTTTTGAGATACATATCCTCATTTTAGATTTCCTAGGGGGAAATCGAAGTTCAGAAATGTTCTGGAAAATGACATGTTAACATCAGATAAGAAGCGACTTGAGTAAGATTTGAGTCTAGGTTTCAGGCATGTGAATTACTAACTCTGCCAAGCTCTCCATTCATTTGCCCTGGCCTGCCTTCCTGATTACACATATTGGTCTAGAGTGGAATACCTAGCTACCACATCCTACCATTTTGATAATGGCATCCGCTCAAATTGCATATGAATATGTCCTATTACTGTATTGTTTTTAAACACAAATCAGTTTTCTTGGGTAACAGGACCATTGTCCAGTTAGATCCTTTAGTCCTGATTCTAGTTGTAGACTATTCCAACCAATACTTTGACTTAATATCTTACAGTCAAGCCAATGGCTTATATCAATATCAACGTGCATTTTAAATATTTAATTATACAGTACATCACTTCTCTTTGTAATGAATTTTAATTATATGTAGGCAGTATTGTGTTCCTAAAAAGAAGTATATACAATCATATTTTAAATATACTTGAGAAATTTTAAACGTCACTTGTTAATCTTATAATATAATTTTTAGTAAATCATCACACTGAAATTACATCGAAGAAGAGACAATTGGGTTTTTAGGCTAATTTTTCAATTAACATTTCAAACTATGATGCCATTCTTCAATATTCCTATGATTCATGTGTCAGCCAAGATAGCTTTGTTCAATTACTAAAGAGTCATTTTGTTTAAAAGCTACCTAGGCTTTGAGATTTTTTAAAGAAGCGATTACATTTAAACCAGGGGTCATCAAACTTTTTCTGTAAAAGGTCAGATAGCAAATTTTGGCTTTGCAGGCTATAGGTGTCTGTTATAATTACTCAAATCTACTGTTGTAGCTGGAAAGCAGCCAGCAAATTGGCTGTGTTTCCCTAAAATTTTATTTCTAAAAACAGGTGGTGGGCCAGATTTACCAGTTTGCAGTTTGCCTACCCCTGATTTAAACAGCTCCGTACTCAATGGAAAGCTGATTTCACTGCTATTTAGGCAAATTAAAGCTGAGATGATAAACTTAAAAAACTAAATTTTAAAATATTTTAACAAGCAAATCATCAGCTTATTCCTATTACAAATCATTATTGTCATCTATGATGCTTAAAATTGTTTGTTTAAAATCATGTAATTCATTTTGAAATTTAGCAGTCATGATGAAATAATTTAAATTCTTCATTCTGCTCAGGATTTGAGTCAGTCAGAGGATATCGTTCTCACACCTGTATCCAAAGGTGAGCACACAGAATAGCACTCATTCCTCTTCCCTGCCCTGCAGTGTAGCATAAAATCAAATCTGCCTCTCAAGATGATTTAAAGACAGGGAAAGCCTGAGAAGAATTGTAAAGTAATTGAATTTTCAGTTCAGTCCTGTCCACCTTTCCTTTCTATTCTCATCTCCCCACTTGTGGTGCATGAGTTTTTCCTCCCAGGTACATGTTCCCATGTGAGAGCAATACCTCTACCATCCTGAGGCATTCTGCCAATGTCTGGGAAGCATCCCTTTCTATATTCCATGTCTTAAAAGTTTAACATGCAATATCAATTTGTGAAAGTGAGTTTTCCAAAAGAGCAGTTAGTTATGTAGTAATCATATAACATATTTGTGTTTTAGTAAAGGGATTCCTTAAATTGAAATTCTTGATCAAAGTAATTAGTCTCTGTTCATTGATGTTTTAGTACCATGGAAAAGAAAAATCTGCAAGTGATTCATCACAAATCACACACTTTTGCTAGTACCTTATTTTATTTACATTTTATGACAATCCCCTTAAGGCAACTGTTAGAAATCCAACCAATTTCCAAGATTCCCCTAACTAACTACCCTTCTACTTCTCAGGGAGGATAAAAAAAAGATATAAGCTGCTAGTCAGCCCATAAATCAGTTTATTTACATGTTAATTAAAAATTTTACTTTCTGGTCATTTTCTAAACATGTTGTTCTAAACCTGTTGATCATTTGCATAGACTCTCTGGGGGTCCCAGATTTATTTGCATTACTCTCCAGAAAGGACTTTTCTTTTCTATGGGGATGTTGCTGAAAGAACATTTGAATGAGCAAAGAGGCCAGGGATAAGTGCAACTCTCAGGCCTTCTAAGAAATGTATAGGAAGACAGCTCAGGAGATGGCACTGACATCACTTCCTTTGCCACTTAGACTTGTGCATAGCTTTTAGGAATACAGTCATGTGCTGCATAACGATGTTTCAGTCAACGAATATGCGTTTCAGTCAAGCTCCACAAAATTATAATGGAGCTGAAAAATTCCTGTCTCCCAGTGACGTGGTTGCCATGACATTGTAGTCCAATGCATGACTCACTTGTTTGTAGCAATCCTGGTGTATATGAACCTACTGTGCTGCAGGCCATCTAAAAGTGTAGCACGTACAACTATGCACAGTACATAATACTTGATAAGAAAAATAAATGTTTCTGGCTTATGTATTTACTATAATATACTTTTCTTGTTATTTTAGAGTGTAATCCTTCTAGTTATAAGAAAAATAAAAGTTAACTGTAAAACAGGACCTTGAAAAGGTCCTGAAAAGGCCGGTCCTTGAAAAGGTATTCCAAAAGAAGGCATTGTAATAGGTGATGACAGTTCCATGTGTGTTTTTGTCCTTGAAGACCTTCCAGTGGGAACACATGAAGAAGTGAAAGGCAATGATATTAGCCTGACCCTCTATAGGTCTAGACTAGTGTGTTTGTGTCTTACTTTTAAATGAAAAATGTTTTAAAAGTATAAGTAAATTTAAAAAGTTTTAAAAATAGAAAAAATAGTTTGTAGAATAAGGATGTAAAGAAAATCCTTTTGCACAGCTGTACAATGTGTTTCTATTTTAAGCAAAGTGTTATTACAAAATAGTCCAAAAGTTAAAAAAAAAACAAAGTTCATAAAGTAAAAAAGTTACAATAAGCTAAGGTTAATTCATTATTGAAGAATTATATTAAAAAATAAATTTAGTGTAGCCTAAGTATACAGCGTTCATAAAGTCCACAGTAATGTAGAGTAATGTCCTAGGCCTTCATATTCACTCAGCACTCACTCACTAAGTCACTCAGAACAACTTCCAGTCTTGCAAGCTCCATTCATCATAAGTGCCCCATATTGATGTACCGTGTTTTATAATATCTTTTATACTGTATTTTTATTGTACTTTTTATATGATTAGATTTGTTTAGATACACAATTACTTACCATTGCGTTACAGCTGTCTACAGTATTCAGTATAGTCATATGCTACAAAGGTTTGTAGCCTAGAAGCAATAAGCTATACCATATATCCTAGATTTGTAGTGGTCTATACCATCCAGGTTATGTAAGTACACTCTATGATGTTTTCACAATGATGAAATTGCCTACAACGTATTTCTTATATCATATCTCATCCTTAAAGCCATGATTTTATAAACACCAGAGGAGTAAACAGAAGCGTGAGCAATTGCTAGTGGAGAGATTGAGATCTCAGCACTTAATATATCTACATTTACTCCAGTTAGACTGACCCAATATAAGACTCATAACCTGACAACATGGTCAGGCATTCAGCACAAGGATTATGATAAATGGATCTGGACTGATCTCAGACAGGGGTTCCTCCTCTACTTGCCTTTAGTTAAGGGCTGAACAGAACCCTAGAGAGTGAGAAGTTTTAGGTAACACCAGTATCTCACTATAACTCTAACTACATGTTATCTAATTCCTATTACCTGCAAAACCCCTAACCTATGACATTGTACTAGTTGATTTATATATAGATAATTATTAACTATCCACTGACTACTTAAATCAAAGTCACTGTGGTTTATGCTTAAAAGGAATATTCTTGCACACTGTTAAAATATACTGAATTGGAATCTATGGAGCTGTAATCCATGTAATCTATATGTAAACCTGCTTTCCTGGTGATTCTTATGGACAATACAGTTAACAAATGACTGGCATATCTTTTATAAATCCTTTAAATAACTGTGCAAATAAGGTGTTATTTATGGATGAGAAGTTTAAGGTTGTGTGTGGTAATATAATTACTTTAATACCATTCCTTTAGTGAGAACCAATGCAGTATTTGAACATAGGACGCTTTCTCAAAAATACCAGGAACACTATGGCATAGTGGATGCTCAGTATATTGTATGATACTTATATGATAAATTGCAAAGATATATACTTATTTTAATATAGAAATAAAAATCATGACTTTAAAAAGTTAATTTTGGCTTGTTTGCATATTTTCTGTTTATGTTTCACTTCAGGGTGTATATTTTTTATTACTAATCTTTTTGTTGACCTAATAAGTTTCAAGTTAAGTCTTCAATCAGATATTATTAATCAGAGATGAGATTCCTAAAGAGATCCAACTGACAAGACATTGTTTATCATCTGAAGAAAGCACACATTTCTCATACAGGCAGGTCAGTAGTTGATACTTCAATGCATATAAGTCAACATAGAGCAAAGCTATCCATCTACTTCTACCATCCTTAACACTACTCAGGGAGAGAGGAAAAACCAATAATGTTTTGGAAAGATGTGGAATTAGTCTCAGAACCAGCTGCTTGATGCAGCTGCTAGAATAAAACTGGCTGATAAAGCAGTATTGGTGACAGTGGGTACTTCCTTGCCTTAATTGGATAGAATTCCAAGTGGGCATTGCACTTTTAAGTTAGAAAATTATCAGGCACTACCACTTCCAAACTGTTTACCTTGAGACTAGGCAAGTGAAATTGGGCAAGAAATACAAATTATTTTAGAATGGAAGAGATGACATTTCCAAACATGGACTTAAGCTACAAAATATAAGGTTGAAGGTACTGAATTGGTAATTCCCTGGAACTGAAGAAACGTGTTCACTATGCTCTACACCCCCAAATGTCCACTCCACACATTGCAAAATGCAGACGTTTCAGACAAGAGAATAATTTCCTTTGTTCATGGCTCTGCTGCAGGTTCACAGATAAACAATTATTATAGAACATTAAAGTTTCAGAATATGATCATCTTTTTAAGTTCCCTAGCTGAGAGACAAGAGTAATGATGGTTTAGCTTGGAATAAGTAAAATAATATTTGATGAAGTCTTCTAGATGGCTTGTGTCCATTTTGCTTGCTTTGTTTTCAGTTGTTGAGACTGCCAAGGAAATACTTCATTTTGTTTGTTTGTTTTTGCAATATTAACTTCTTGATGACAAGAAATGTAATTAAACAGAGATAAAAGGATTCTTTGGTCAAATCTAATAATCATTGATCACAACATAAATTCAAATTTAAAAGATCTGGCAAAGAAGGGAAACAACTTTTTCGTATTAGTAAACATCAGACACATGGAGTTGTGTTCATGTGAATGTTGATTATCGTAGTGAGCTTTTCTGTGATCACCAAAGAGAGGCAGCAAGGGTGAATCATTTTGATGTAGACATTTCAGAAAATAAACTATTTGTTTTTTGTCTTTCTTCCTTTTGTTCTTTCTTCTGTTCTTTCTTTTTCTTATTTCATTTTTGTTAGAAATATTAAATATATAACATCTAATGTTTATGTTTCATTAAATTTGTTTATCTTAAACTGTGCTTCTTACTTTTGTTAATGATTGTTCTTGTGGAGACATCTGCCCAGAACTCTGCTACAAATACAGAGTGTTGGCAGGAGAATATGAATAAATAAAATTTAAAAGGTAGATATAAACAAAATAAGATAACTATCTCCATGGACCAGGAATTAGAAGATAAAAAAATACCAAAGCCACAGTCTTGTCTTTATTCCGTAATAGAGAGAGGCTGCCTTCTCCAGTATGGGGCATTATATAAATACAAGCAGCAATCTCTGACATTTTTGAGTCTACAATTACTGTAGACTCTTGCAGGGTCCTAGAGAATAAAAATGCCAAACTCTACACAGAAACCCTGGCCAGTCTCACTTCCTAAAATGGAGTTCAGGCTCACAGCTGGAAACAGGAACTAATGTAGCTTCAAAGCAATAGCTTGGGCTATGGTGCCCATTTTTGTAAATATTGGCTTTTGTCTTAATTCAGTGTCCAGGGTTGATTATATAATTTGTAAGGTCTAGTGCAAAATGAAAGTGTGGGGCTCTAGTTCAAAATATAAGCAAAAGGTTCTATTAAGTGTATCAAAGTATAAAATGTTTCCTTTATCTGTGATCTATTTTTCAACTTGTTACGTCTTTCAGTTTGTTTGTTTTGTTTTTCCTTTGCTATTCTATGTCCTTTTATGTAAAAAAATTAAAAATCTAAATTACCACAATAAATTTTCACATTCATTTTTATGTTGTGCAGTATCAATTTAAAATGCAAATATAAAAGCATTTAACTTATACATAGAATCACAAAAATTACATAATACATATTTCATAGTATGTACATGCATGTATATTTTGTTACTACCAACATATATTTTGTGCAGTAGAAACACTGCACAAAACTAACTCAACTTTTCTATTTATCGTATCAATATACACACATTCTACCAACACTCTCTACCTATTACTTACCAATGGGTATATAAGGATCAAATGGAGAAGAGACTATGAGCTGTCTTATGTTTCTCTTCCCTGCCTTCATTTTCAGCATAAGTGGTCGGCTAATATAGGAAAGAAACTTCTGAGTAAGAAATGATATGATAGGACTCTTTGGTTGTTCATGTTTCTTAGAAATCTGTAGCCTTCTTTCTGTGTGTGCAGCCAGTTTTTGTTGGAACAGAAATTATCGCCTCTCGGCGCTATTAACAGCTCTGCCTGAACAGAACACATTTACCCTGTACTTGTATTGAATTTTTTGGAACTACCACTTACTGAGAGCACACAGGGACTCTGTGCTTATGGGACACCAGGAAGGCTCTATGTGCATGGGCATCAAGCAACAGAGACATGCATATTGTACATAAGTCTGCTCAAATGCATGCTCCATTGTCCCTTCAGATTTCACTGACAAACACAAGTTTAAAGATAACATTATTAACAATACCAAGACCAAGACAGAAGAGCATTAAACCAAGGAAGGGGCTCATCTAAATTAGCAATCCAATGCAATATTTCGTGTTGCTTGCCCAAGAATCTAGCCCAGCCACTATTGCATTGGGGCAGCATTTTGGAGCCATCTGCATAAGACTTGGTTTAGACATGAGCTTCTGGAAGGAAGGGGGAGAAAACTGAAAAAGGACTAGTGAAAAGAGAAGGCTGATAATCAAGGTCAATACAGAGCCTAGAAACTAAAATTCTAAATACATAGGTGAACAAAGGAAGCTAACCTATACAGTAACATTCTGTAAATTAATTCACTTTTCAAAATAAAAATAATAATGAAAATTTTGAATAATTTAAAAACAATTACACTTAAGTCCTCAAAAACATGGAGAACATTTATGTGCATAAGCGGAAACAAGAAATCACAAAATAAAAAATAACACAACAAAATAAGAAGGATGAAGAAAACTAAATAATTGGAAACTCTCAAAATACAAAATAAAATAATTTTGAAAAAATCAACTACAACATCAAAAATTCTAGAATGGGAATGATCCAAGCTAAATTAGTAGATTGGATGATAATAATAAGAAGAAATACATAGACTACAGTATTATATATACTGTGTATATATATCCAAAATATTAACAGAAATTATATTAATTCTGACTGATATATTCAGTATAGATATGGTATTTCTAGTTAAGTTTTTGACAATTTTATTTTATAATGAAACTGGATCCAAGTCATTGTGTAAAGCAATTGACCAGCAAAGTTATTGCAGGATAAATCCATTCTGAAAAAACACATATTGTATCTTGTAAAGTCTAATTTGTTATAGAGGATAATAAAGACACTTGAGATGTCTGATTCTTGTTTTAGTTTCAATTTGTAACATGAAAGTAGATTTATTTAATTATCTCCATCCATAATTCACCTTAATCATGTCATTCTGAAGAAAGAATCTCATTGTGATGAATGTATTTCCATATATTTAATCTTCAGTATGTAATAAAACGTTTGTTTTGGCCATCAACTGCTTTTACCAGCAAAATAACTCTTGTAATGATCCATAACTAGCAAATCTCTTCATTTTATTTGGAGTATGATATTTGTATGGAGAATAAAAACCAGAAATAATAATGATGTACAATGTCCTCTGTGTTTACAGACCCATCTTTTTTTAAAATTATCTTACCATATGGAAGTTAAATAAGTATAGCACATTGGTGTTCCAATCTCTTGAAAAATATCTACAATTTCAGAAAACAACCTACCAGGGCAGAATATGACACATCTCCTATTATTCATAAAATGTGCCGAAGATTGCTGAAGATTGATTCAACTTTTGCTGATGAGACTCCAGGCAGGATATTACCATAGCAGATAGACTTATCCCTGGAGGCTGTAATCGCAACTCTAAGACAGCACCACACAAAGCTAGAGCGTAGTTTTTGTGGAGAAAAACTTGGAATGTAATGTTAACCTGACAATATGTTGGTAATATGTTTCTATGTCAGTTCAGAAGACAACCAAATAGTATTATTGTCTCCATCTGTGAAAAGTTTTATTTGCTGTAATTGAAGAGCACACCATAATGATGCACAATTTCATTTTGTGTTACATTTTTGGTATAGCCTTCTTATTATTCGTTTATTTCTCTAGTTGTTGTTGGGCCAGAATCCGTAAGCTTGCTTTACATGAACTTGTGTCTACTAGCAGTTATGACGTATAAACTCCAATTTTTTATGTGTGTGCATTCACAAAAATACCAAACCTTTTTGCTGACATTTCAAAAGTCTTTTTAGAGTGTTTTCTGGTCCTCATTTTTTGCTTCAAGGAAACAAAATAATTTTTTAAATAAGATATATTGTTAAACTTTTATTTATTTTCAGATTGCTTATGATGTATTTAGGGTAACATCAAGTGACAAATGATATTACTCTAAATATATTTAAAAGTGAAAACAGAATGCCTCTAATCTGGTGTCCTGAAAGCACCTAGGAAGTCTTTAACCCTACCATGGAGAGAAGAAGGTGACATCCTAAAGTGAAGAGGGTGATGACTCATGACAGGAGGTCTCTCTATGTTGCTCAGGTTAGTCTAGAACTCATGGGTTCAAAAATACTGCTGCCTCGGCTTCCCAAAGTGCTGGTATTACAGGCATGAGCCTCTGCACCTGGCCTGAAGCGTAATATTCCAAACAGATAATCTGGGATAGGTGATCAGTAGACCGTGATAGATTTTTTTTAAAACATATTTGGGAAGAGTCTGCCATTGTTGTACTTTTCCAGCTTGCATTATAAAACTTTAATTACTTGATCAGATAAGAAAGACACAATCATGATCAAAGCTGCCCTTTCGGAGCAGACTTCACACATACTTGAAACCAGCATGGCTCTCCAATTAGCTTATACACCAATGCCACAGTATAAGTATTTTCTAGACCTTAGCTGGACCTTTTAATAGAGTTCTAATTTTAAGCTGCATTTTATCTTTTTATTGTTTTTATTTGTGCTTATAAGAAGCCTTTGATTTTCCACTTCCCTGTAAATATGTGAATATTATAAACACACACCATATGCTAAGCATTGTTTAAGTGTGTTCTCTTGTGTGTGAATGTGAGGCATAAAGAATGAAAGAGCAGCTACTCAATGAAGAGGAATAATTTTTACGTGAATAAAGTTAGTGTATTCTTAAAATATCTTCCACTAAAATGATCAAATTCAATGGAATTGTTAAAAGTTAAATAAAACATTTGAGTTCAGATCATTTCATCAAAGGCAAAATAGGTCACTCTGAAAATCTAAGATTCTAGTAAAATAAATGCAATTTCTCAACTATATGGAGAAACTACTCATTATTATTGTTTTTTTCAGTGATGTTCTTGCTTAACATTGCAGTAATCTTAATGCTATTAAAGGGGCTCAATAGGTTATGTAATATTTTGTAATTTCATCTGATGTTCCATTCTGCTTAATATTAATATTTCAATTGAATGTGATGTAGCATTGTACTTGTTGTGGTGGATGTGTATCTTGCTCTATATTTGTAGGTGCATATTTGCTAGAAAGTTTTGTGATTTAGACATCTAGCAGGCATTTTTGATATGTCTTTTTCCCTTAGCCCTGGCTTTTCATCAATCACCAAAACATGATAGTTCTGCCTCATAGAAACTCCTCACATTTAGCAATTTATTTTGATTTCTACTTACGATATCTTGCTATAAGCCACAATTATTTCTCACCAGAACTACTGTAAGTTTCAAAACTAATTGCTGGTGATGTGAAAAATGGCCCCATTGGCAAATAGGCTGTGATGGAAGAACTTTGAATGGAATATAAATCACAATTTGTAAAACATTCCTGTGAGACACAGAATAGAGAAACTACCAAACCCAAACATACAAGGCACACTAAACAAAAACATTAAAAAATTCTCATAAATTAATGACAAGACACCAGATAAACCAATGTAACAGTAATTTGGCATGAGGTCATGTGTTCTAAAGATAAGAACATTTACTATTCCAGCAAATCACTTAGCTTACAAATGATGACTAAAGCCTGAGAAAACTGTGTGACTAATTGTAACCCCCAAATCCTCTAAGGTTATTTTTTAACACTTTCTTTTTGAGATGCTCACAATTCTGCCAGGCTGCTTTCTATCTTGTAAGCCAGTAAAACTAACTTTGCTGCCAATGTATCCCTGATGGTCTTTATTCAGTGGGGTTTAATAAGTAGAGGTACCAACAGAATTTGTCAAGACCCTCAGTGCTATGAAGCAGAACCCTTAACTTGGTTATTTTGGTGGTTAATTTTATGTATCAACTTGCCTGGGCTAAGGGATGCTTAGATAGTTGGTAATACATTGTATCTGTGAGGCTGTTTCCAGAAGAGATTAGCATTTGAATCAGTAAAACGAGTACAGAAAATCTACCTTCACCAATATAGGCCATTATCATCCAACCCACTGAGGGCCCAAATAGAACAAAGAGGCAGAGGAAGGGCACATTCTTTCTTCTTGAGGTGGGACATCCATCTTCTGTGCTCCAACATCAGAGCTCATGGTTCTCAGACCAGCGGACTCTGTGACTTATATCAGCTGTGGGGGGGTGGGGGTGGGGCACTAGAATTTTCAAGCCTTCAGCCTGGGACTGGGAGTTACACCACCAGTCTCCTGGTTGCCCAGGTAATAGACAGCCATACCCTTGGGCTTCTGAGTCTCCATTATTGTGTGAGCCAATTCCCACAATAAATCTCTCATATATTCTATAGGTTCTGTTTCTCTGAGAGTTATAAAAACACAGTAACAGTTTGAAAATCTGAAAGAACTTGAGTTTTTATTCATTGAGGCCACTATGACTGTGACTATGAGGAATGACTATGATTGACTTAGCTATGAATATGAATTAAGGTAATAAAAATAAATGTTAACAATTATTGAACACCTGATACAGGCCAAACTCTGACCTAGGGACTTTACTGGTATAATACGATTTAATCTTCACAAGGACCTTATGAGGCAGATACTAAAACTAATTGTTTTACAAAAAAAAAAAAAAAAAAAAAAGGAAATTGAGGCATAGACAGATTAAGTAACATGCTGAAAGTCACAGATTTTTTTTTTCTAAAGAGAAATATAATGATTTTGAGCATGAGATTTAGAGTCTTACAGGCTTGGCTTTATACCTTGCTTGTCCTCTAAGCACAGTAACTACTATTTATCAAAGAGTGCCAAATGGCCGAGAAAACAAATTTAAAGAAGCACACAGGCTTTGTAAAAAAAATAAGCCAGGTAGTCATTTATCCACTCTCTGAAAACACTCTAATGGAACTTTAGAAAGTAATAGATGGATAGACACACAGACACATGGGTGAATGGATGAATAATGGAAAAAATCATATATTTTATTTTTTTTCTTTTGGTCTCTGTGTAACACATAAATGTCTAAGCAAGTATTTTAGAGACTCATTCCTGGCACAAAATATTTGCAAATGCCTCTGGTAAATAAGTATTAGTCTTTAGTCCTGACCATTGAAGATTACAAGGAGATTCTAAACATTCAAACTATAATATAAAGACTGATTTTATTTCTAGTTCCCTGTTTTTCATCCCTTTTTATTTCTCTCTAATACACTTTTATTTTTCCCTTATGTACACTTTTCCATCAATTTCTACTATATTTTACTTTCTTAACCAAAAGCAACATGGAAAACTGAATTTCACAAACATTTATTATTTCTAAATATTTATAAGTTGGATTTCATTTTGTATGTGTATTTTCAAAGGTGATTATTGAATTAAGATGTATAATATATTGTATATCTTGTATCCTTCCTTGAAATCAGCGTGAAAAACAAAGAAGTGAAATATTAATAATTGACTTATCCTCTGTGGAACATGTCTAAGCCTACATTGTGCTGGTAATCCAACTATTATATACTTTTATTTATTTGTTCCTGAATAACAATTGTCAATAGACTGATTAATGTGAGATTAACAAAAGAGTATATACTATATTGGAGCTGGCAAAATTTATACTGATAACATGGCCCTTCCTCTTGATATTATATATGTCCTGATTCCAAATATTCAGTCCTTTATCGACTCAAGGCTATTGCTTGGGGACTGAGTCTGCCCATTGCAGAGAGCTCATTTATTTCCCCCTCCAAAATAGATTTCATTTTTCTTTTGTGCATCATAAGCACATTTCTAAAGTTCTGACGGTAAATTTTATAGCGGCAATGTGCAGAAGAATTTAATTTTGAGTTCTCAGGTTGACTAGCAATGCTAGTGGGGATTTTATTACTACTATTTGATTTTCAAAAATGCATTACTATTTCAAAATAGAAAATATCCAAAACACCAGCTTATTTCAGAGGAATGAAATTGAAGAGAGAGTGGAAAAGAAAGTAGAAAATAGCACTTCAAAGTAATTTTTTTTTTTTTTGCATTTCTGAAGCATAGGGAGTGTTTGTAGATATTGTGGATAAGTAGTGTGGTAAAAGTCAGTTATTAAGTCTCCATACTTTATAAGTAAATCAGACTAAATTATTTTCCTTAACTTTTTCCTTTGTCCTTTTACTAAAGAAATTATATATACTACTCTTGCTTTCCAAAAAATTGAGAACTTTGTTTTAACCTAATATTTAAGTTCTAATATTACTGGATGCAAGTTTCATAACAACAACAAAAAGAAGCCTAAAATACAAACCTCCTCTAAAATATAAACAAAGAACAAAAAATAGAAGAAAGATAGAAGCATATAGTATCATGAGATCAAATTACTCCTCACTGGGGAGAACCAAAAACGTGTCTCCACTCCAAGATAATACAATCTCAGTATATACTTTTATTCTCACAATAAAGTACAGAAAATCTTGTCTTAGAAATTCAAGACCCAGGAATACTAAAGAGCTTGATTAGTCCAGTATTCACAGGCAGCTGAGTATGTTGTATGAATTAATGGCTACTCAAAAACCCTGTGGCTTGCAATCTTGGTTGCATGATTTTACGAAGGTTTCAACAGTGCACACATTTTTAAGTTATAACTTGGGATTGATAGGTTTCCTTTTGTTAGACAATTAATGTGTTTACTAGAGGAGGGAATATGAATTCCCACCCATTGACTTAATAAATTATTCACTGTGCAGAAGGAGAGCCTTACTTAGAATGTAGTAGAATGTAGAGAGGTATAGACAAGATAAACACAAGTGAGAAATCTTCACAAACCACAGTGATGAAAATCAGATCTATGGTTGAAGAGACAACCCTGAAAATACAAGAAATGGCATTTATTTCTAATCTTGAGAGCTTGTGTCTATGTTATATTATGTGGCAAAAATGAATTTTAGGGTTAGAAATTAAAATGAAGGCATGGACCTTAAATTGGGGAGATTATCTTGGATTACCTATGTCCTCCCAATATAATCACATGAGTTTTTAAAAGTGGAAACTGTGGGCAGAAGGGCTTGTCAGAGAGATGGAACATGAGAAAGACTTGATTATCCATTGCTTCTTTTGAAGATGAAGGAAAGGGCCCATGAGCCAAGAAATGCGGTGGCCTCTAGGAGCTAGAAATGCATCTCAGTTTATGACCAGCAAGAAAATAGGGACCTTGTCCCTACAATCACAAGGGACTGAATTCTGCCAGTGATCTGAATAAACAAGAAATAGTCCTATAGAGCCTGTAGAAAGGAATATAATCTGTTGACACCTTGATCTTAGCTTGGTGGACTTCTGACCTACAGAATTATAAAATGTAAATCTGTGTTGTTTTTTAAACCATTGTTTGTGGGTATGTGTTACTGCAACAATAGAAAACTAATACACAGGATGGCATATATTTGGCAGGGGTGGGGTGTGAATGAGGGAGATGATACACATTAAAAAAATAGATCTCCAAATCACCTTGCATTTGGCTTATAAGACGTCAAGCTAAATGCAAACATTCATCATTATGTATTTGGATAAGTTATTTGGGAAAAGACAGATTCTGTGATAACATTCAATTCCAATTGTTTACTTATTTTTATTAATTACCTTTATACTTAGAGTCATGCCTACCTTAAGTTTATGTATCACATGAAAGGTTCATGGTAAGGTTCTCATTTGGATAAACTGACAAAAGAGCTAGTGACCTTTTAAGTTGTATTTTCTTTTTAATTTAGCATGAATCTGCCTGGTCTTACTATTTGTTAGTAGTATTTAAAATGATTCTGGCCCAAATTGAAATAATATACTCCCATGTCATATACATTACATTAATTTTTGACTGAGATTTATCTTTTCAACATGTTAGTCTTTCTTCTCCGAAACCAAGTAAGAACTGCCTTGAAGTTAGTTGGCATTATGTCAGATTTTTTATCTTAATTGCTCTTAGCACCTTGTAGCATGACTTATACATTTGTTGTTTGCTTGGTTTTTAATTTTGTGCTTCTATATTAAGTCTGTCTACATGCATCATTCTTGACATTATTCTTTGATATTCTAAAATTCAGTAAAAGTTGTACACTATTTGAAAATATCTAAGTTAGTTTTCTAGGCTATCTACAATTTGCCAAAAATTTGACTTGTCATTTTCCTTTTCTGAGAATGTTTAAGTTTTAAAATACTTGGTAAGAAAAGCAAAATTTTAACTTTTACAAAGTTATTATAAACAATGCACTTGTCAATGGCTTTAGTATCTGCTCATTAATTTGACTCCTGTATCTAAGTATTATGTTGACATAATGTCTTTTCTAAAAATTAGTCACCCTTATCTAAACCTCTAAATATAAACAGAAAGCTGGGGTTTTTTCACATTTAAATAAAAATGTGTTATATTTGCTCTTTTTATTTTTATTATTTGCATCAACACAAAGTCAGGCTGTACACTATTAGTCTTAATAAAGCATCCCCAAATTCTCTTAAATCAGAAAAATTATTTATTCAAAAGTGAAAATGATAAATTCTTTTAAATACAACTCAAATCAAATTTTTCATGTGCAAACAAGCTGTTTTATGTTTTGTGCTGTTCATAGGGCAATGATAACAATGTTATATAACAAGGTTATATAAACTGTCTAACAAGGTTACTTTAAAATGGTACGCGAATAGTTTCAGTAAAATGAAATCATTACAAAGGAATCCCTTGTCGTAGGGCAGAATGCTATATTCAGATTCAAAAGTTTACACAAGGCCAGGCACGGTAGCTCACACCTGTAATCCCAGCACTTTGGGAGGCCAAGGCGGGTGGATCACGAGGTCAGGAATTCGAGACCAGCCTGGACAATATGGCAAAACCCCATCTCTACTAAAAATACAAAAATTGGTCGGGCATGGTGGCAGGTGCCTGTAATCCAGCTACTCAGGAGGCTGAGGCAGGAGAATTGCTTAAACCCAGGAGGAGGCAGTTGCAGTGAGCTGAGATCATGCCATTGCACTCCAGCCTGGGCGACAAGAGCAAGATTCTGTCTCAGAAAAAAAAAAAAAGTTTACACAAAACTTTAATTCTTAAGTTCCATGGTAATATCATATGTTTATACTGTGAAAGGTGATTAGTTACCTTTTATACCTATTTTTACCTATTATTTGGCCAAAGTTGTCTTAGGGGCACAAAATAAATTATTTTGCAGGGACTTACTTTTCATGTGAATTATGAAAGAGAAGTCAAATATTAAAATACCACTACAGGCTGGGCGTGGTGGCTCATGCCTGTAATACCAGCGCTTTGGGAGGCCTAGGTGGGAGGATCACAAGGTCAGTAGATCGAGACCATCCTGGCTAACATGGTGAAACACCGTCTCTACTAAAATTACCAAAGATTAGCTGGGTGTGGTGGCGGGTGCCTGTAGTCCCAGCTACTCAGGAGGCTGAGGCAGGAGAATGGTATGAACCCGGGAGGCGGAGTTTGCAGTGAGCCGAGATCAAGCCACTGCACTCCAGCCTGGGGGACAGAGGGAGACTCCATCTCAAAAACAAATAAAAATAACATAAAAAATAAAATAATACCATTACGATCTATCTGATAGAGTACAAAAACTCTGAAGACCTTGTATTTCTATAATGGTTTCTCTTTTTGTTTTGTTTTTTTTTTTTTTTTTGTACAATCAGGTAAGATGGACTATAACAGTTAAATCATCTTCCAGATCTTGCTACAATAACTGCCCATTTAGGTGAAAGCTATAGACATAAAAATTGAATAATGTATGCAATATCATTTCTGAAGTTTGGATTGGGGTGCTAAGTTTTCTAGTAAACACTGAATTTATTATTGTGTATGAGAGATCTTGGGTGCCATCAAATAAAGGAGATCACAAGAATGAAACAGGACCGCTTAAAGCAAACAGTTTAAGTTACACAGCAAGCTCAATCCTTTGTTTGATAATACCTTTACCTCACCTCCCCCACCTCACTCCCTGCTGACATAGACTAGCACTGTCAGTAGACTATAGACTATAACTGGTGATTGAGGACTTTGAAGGACGTTGTAATTGTATTAGTTATAAAATTTAGTAAAATCCTTTATAATACATGTATTAGTTCATTCTCATATTGCTATGAAGAACTACCCGAGACTGAGTAGTTTGTGAAGAAAAGAGGTTTAATTGACTCACAGTTCCACAGGCCGTACAGGAAGCATGGCTAGAAGGCCTCAGGAAACTTACAATCATGGCAGAAGGTAAAGGGGAAGAAAGCACGTCTTACCATGGCGGTGCCATAAGCACGTATCTGGGCAAGCCTTCTAGAGTCTTAGAAAACAGGCCTGGGTTGTCTTCCAGGATCTGTTAGAGCTTGCTAGAGTGAAGCAGAGCCAAACTTTTTGTTTTTATTTATAAAACATATTCAAAGTCTCATTTAAAGATCGTGTGTTCCACACTCAATATGTCAATTTTCTGCCAAAAACTTGCCCCCTAAACATGATTACACTGAATAATTGCAGGCGCCTTCAAGGGTTTTTTTTTTTTTTTTTTTTTTTGGTCATTTCATGTTAATTTATCTGCCTTAGTACTCTACTCATGCTTATGAAAATGCATATAAATTAATATCAGTTGTGGAGAATATAGATGCTATCATTCTCTTTCATTCTCTTCATAACACTGATTCATACATGCCATGTAGATTATATCCAATTTATAAATGGTATATTACTATTATCCAAACTCCATTCTTCTTAATTCAGATTTTATTGTTTTTTCTCTCATAGTGACTTTTTTTCCTCTTCCAGAATCCTATCTGGGATACCTCAGTATATTTAGTAATGTCTCCTTAGGCTCCTCTTAACTGTGACAGTTTCTCAGATTTTCTTTGTTTTTGATGACTTTGGCAGTTTTGAAGATTACTGGTAGATAATTCTTAGAATGTTATTTAATTTAAATTTGTCTAACTTTGTTTTTTCATCATAAGACAGGAAACATAGATTTGGGGGAGGAAGACCACAGCAGTGAAGTGTCATCACATCACATCAAGAATACATGCTACCAACATGACTTATCACTGGTGATGTTAGGCATGATCACTGGGCCAGGGTAGTGGTTGCCAGGTTCTTCACTACAAGTTTTGTTTGTTTGATTTGGTTTGGTTTGGTTTGTTTTTTTCATTCTTTTTTTTTCTTTGTATAAATTTAAGGGGTACAAGTGTATTTTTGCTACATGAATATATTGCATAGTGGTGAGGTCGGGCTTTTAGTGTAATGCATCACCTGAATAATTAATTTTTTATCCATCACTTGCCTCCCGCCCTTCTCAGTCTCCAATGTCTATTATTCCACAATAGATGTCCATGTATGTCTATTATTTAGCCTCCACTTATATGTCAGAATATGGTATTTGATTTTGTTTCTGAGTTGTTTCACTTGAGATAAAGGCCTCCAGGTCCATCCACATTGCTGTGAAGACATAATTTCATTCTTCTTTATGGCTGAATAGTATTCCAGTATACGTGTGTGTGTATGTGTGTGTGTGCATGTGTGTGTGTATCACATTTTCTTTATCCAATTATCTGTTGTTGGACACTTAGGTTGATTTCATTTCTTTGCTATTATGAATAGTGTTGCTATAAACATATGAGGGCAGGTATCTTGTATATATGATGATTTCTTTTCCTTTGGGTACTCAGCAGCAGGGTTGCTGGGTCAAATGGTAGTTCTACTTTTAGTTCTTTGAGAAATATCCATACGGTTTTCCATAGAGGCTGTACTAATTTTCATCCCCGCCAAGAATGTATAAGCATTACCCTTTCTCTACATTATTTCCAACATTTGTTATTATTTGACTTTTTAATAACAGCCACTCTGATGGTATAAGATGATATTTCATTATGAATTCAATTTGCATTTCTATAATTAGTGGTGTTGGACTTTTTTTTCATATTGTAGTTGGCCATTTGTGTGTCATCTTTGAAAAATGTTTATTCATGTCCATTGCCTACTTTATAATGGGGTTGTTTTTGTTGTTGTTTGAGTTCCTTGTAAATTCTGGATATCAGTACTCTGTTGGATGTATAGTTTGCAAATATTTCCTCCTATTCTGTGGTTGTCTGTTCACTCTGTTGGTTATTTCTTTTGCTGTGCAGAAGGTTTTTAGTTTAATTAAGTATGACTTATCTATTCTTGTTTTTTTGCTTGTGCTTTTGGGGACTTAGTCATGAATTATTTGCTTAGACCAATATCCAGAAGAGTTTCCCCTAGGTTTCCTTCCAGTATTTTTATATTTTCAGGTCTTACCTTTAAGTATTTGATAAATCTTGAGTTGATTTTTGTATATGGTAAGAGATAGGGGTCCAGTTTCATTCTTCTGCATATGACAATCATTCTTTCTATAACCTATTCTTTAATAAACATAATCTACCCTCAAAAGGTGGAGAGTTAAGTGCCATCTCCTTGAGGGATGGGGTTTCTACATAAATTCTAGCTCCATTCGCACTTGGTATTGATTTTTCTTTTTCTTTTTACCTTTGGCTATTCTAATAGGAGTTATTTCCTACATATACTTACGCATGCACCAATGCATGTTTGAATATAAATATTTGTGTAAACATTTACTTAATATCTGAATATAGAAATTATTATTAATCCTTATTAATCCATATGGCTTTCTTTACAATTAATATTTTCTTTACAAAAAGGAACTAAATACATCAGAAAAAGTATGAACACATTTTGTTAATGTGCTTCATGGTACTTATTTGTCATTCTTTGGAAATTTTAGATGTGTGGTACATAGATTGCATCTAATAAACCCAATTCTTCAGCTTCTTTTTATGCACATCCATTGTGATATAAGATTCTTGTGGCTTCCCACTATGAAATTTATGCTAGCCACATGTCTTGATTTGGGCACTAAGATGTACTAATGTATGACACACAGAAAAAGATTACAAAATTATTTGCATATTTCAACCTGTGCTCCTGATCCTCTATCTTGGCCATAAGCACATATGTGGGCAAGCCTTCTAGAGTCTTAGAAAACAGGCCTGGGTTCCCTTCCAGGATCTCTTAGAGCTTGCTAGAGTGAAGTAGAGCGAAGCTACTCTAACCACACGAGCTCAGGGCATCCTAGGTTAGTTGTCAGCCAGGTGATTGCCAGATATGTGAGTGAGTCCCACTGAGACTGTTTGAATCCAGCCCAGGTCAGAGGAATTTCACAAACACATGAGCTAATTCAATATTTGTTGTTGCAGGCCACTGAATTTTTAAAGATATTTTTCTGTTGCAAGCATTATTGTCAGAATAGATAACTGATATAAGACCTTTTATGTGATAAATAACATTGAAAAAATATAACTTTGAATGCCATTAAAATTTCGTGTCTGTGTGTGTGTGTTTGTATGTGTGTGTGTGATTTCAAATATATCAATAAATAAATGTTAGTTGCACGGCATATTTTAATTGAAAATGACCTATGAACGTTGTGTTGTTTAACTCCCCACCAGTGGAAAGCCACCCATGTGATAGTCTTGTCAGGTGGTCATCCAGACATTGATGTTCAAAATCCCTTAGCTGACTTGCTGTCTTAGCAGAGAGAAAAAACACTGGTTTTTCATTAAGCTCAGATTTTCTTTCCTGGAGACTGAACCCCTTGGCCCTCTTTCTTTCTCTCTAATGACATGGAATAAAGACTATTCCCTCCTTTATGATCATATTTAAATTAACTCTCAAGGTGTCCTTTTCTATTATATATGTTAACGTTGCTTAGGCCACTATAGACCTTAGCTTGCCTGAATCTCTTTTGCCTGCACCTCCCTTTTGTATTGGATCTTGGAAGTGTGGTCTCCTTTCAAATTTTGTGCTTTGACAAAATTGACTCCCCCAAATCTACATTTATTTAAACTCCAATGCAACCAATTTGAATTTGCAGATATTTTCTCTGCTTACTTCCACTGGGGAAGTTTGTCACAATATTCACAGACTCTCATTAAAATCAGTGACAGAACAGCCAGGCGCTGTGGCTCACGCCTGTAATCCCAGCACTTTGGGAGGCCGAGTCGGGTGGATTACGACGTCAGGAGATTGAGACCATCCTGGCTAACACGGTGAAACCCTGTCTCTACTAAAAATACAAAAAAATTAGCCTGGCGTGGTGGCGGGCGCCTGTAGTCCCAGCTACTCGGGAGGCTGAGGCATGAGAAAGGCTTGAACCTGGGAGGTAGAGCTTGCAGTGAGCGGAGACAGCGCCACTGCACTCCAGCCTGGGCGACAGAGCGAGACTCCTTCTCAAAAAACAAACAAACAAACAAAAAAAGAAAGAAAGAAAATCAGCGAGAGAATTGTGCTGTTGTATCTTCAAATTATTTTTCAAAATTTATTTCTGAATTTTAGAAGATACGACTATACCCTTGACCTTCTTCCTTTGCTATTGGTGTTTTAAAAATAAGTCATGGTCATTTTGTCAATAATGTCATCGTACTTTCATGTTTAGAAAAAACTTTTTCAAAACTTCAGAGCCATTTTTCTAAAAAGGCATTTTTCCTATATAGTGAAATAACATACGTTGTATTATAATTCATAGCAAATTTTTGCGAACACATCTCTTATTCTAAATCATTTATTTGGTTTTCTGCCATATAATATTTATGTTTTTTGGAGTGGTGAGGAAGATAAGGTAGTAAAGAAAATGACGACTGACTTAATTTTTTAATATTCCTACCTTTTCCTAGTAATGTTACCAACATGTTCTCAATCTGGAAAAACTATGTTTTAGTTTTCCAAAAGATTGACATTATAAAAAGAACCACTTAGTTCCTCATTTATGTCTAGTCTTTACTTCTAAATGAGGCTTTAAAAACTCATACCACAAAAAGTAATTTGAGAAGTAAACTTGATTTGCAAACAAGGGTTGCATTAATAGGACTTGTTACATAGAGTATGTACTATACAGGGAGCGTGGAAAGTAGTAGAGGGAGAAGCAGACAACTTTACTTCTGAGGAGATTAAATCAGGTGACTTTGTCTTCAAATTGGGTGTTAAGGGATGATCTTGGAGAAGAGCAACGGATAAATTTACCTGCAATATTGTGGTCCTGGGGCAAGGGTACAAATGGAGGTGTACATATAACAGTTGTATGTATTTAAACATTATATGCCAAGCAGGTAAACTAATTAAAAAATATATTCTAATCTATTATTTTCACACTTATACCTTTACCATGTTAATATTAACCATGTTAATATCCAGGCTCACCTTTATAATTCTCAGACATAGCATTTTTTTGAAACAGGGACACGTTGGGCTGATCAGGCCTCCACAGCTAGCCTGCAGAGAATCCTGCTTTTCTCTTCTCACTTTAACCTTTGTTCTGTGCTGCAGTGACCTTCTACACATGGTGGACACTCCAGCCTCTGCTCAATCTCCATCCACACTTAAAGGAAATAGCCAACTCTTGGCCAACCTTCAGGCCTGGGAAGAGGCTCAAGCAGACACTGAAGACGGACTTAAGGTCAGTTTTGCAGGGGCATTTTTGGTTCTGGATATCTGGATTAGGCAAGGAAGACAGCACAAGCTCCAGGTTTATCCCTAAGGACAGACATGGCCAAAGCAGGGCCTAAGTATGGCCCTCTAAAGAAGCACAGGACACCTCTCTCTCTCTCTCTCCTTCCTTCTCTCTCTCTCTTTCTCTCTCTCTTCTCTTCTCTTTCTATGTGCCTATGTGTGTGTGTGTATGTATATGTGTTTTCGTGTTCCAAAAACTGTACTCGCAGAGGCTAGCACTATGGTTTAAATGTCCTTCAAATTTCATGTGTTGGAAATTTAATCCCTAAGTCAATGTGATGATTGGAGGTGGGCCTTTGGGAGGCAATTAGGATTAGATGAGGATACCAGGGTTGGGCTCCCATGATTGGATTAACGGCTTTATAAGGAGAAGAAGAGAAACCTGAGTTAGCACACTTGTTCTGTTTCATCATTCGATGCCTCCCACCAGTTCATGATACAGCAGGAAAGCCCTCAGCAGATGCTGGCACAATGATCTTGGACTTTCCACCCTCCAGAATCATTAGCTATACAAACCTCTATTTTTAAAAAATTCTCAATCTGTGGTATTCAGTTAACAGAAAACAGACTAAGACAGCTAGAGAGGCATGATATAACCTGTAGTGTTCCAGGAGTAGAGAAACCAGAGTGAGTTTTTCCTAGCATTGGCAGGGGATCAATGTTGGCTGCCCTTACCACTGTCATTTTCATCAAGAAATGCTTTAAGTTGCCCGTGAATTGTTTAGAAAGCATGAAGCCTATTTGCAGTCAGAGATTTAGCCACTCTGAAGTCTCCTGAAGGAAAAAAAAATAGTCACTGATTACTAGAGGGTTGTTGTTAGTGTGATATGTAAACTAAAACCCAAGATAACTTGGATTTCACTTGCAAAAAATAGTCATTGAAATCACATGCATAAACACACAAATACATATATGGTGTCAAACTATCAGTTTTGTTATTTAATTATTTAGTTATGGTGTCTGATTCTGAAAATAGGCATAAAAAATAGATCAAATCTTAGCCTGTGAATTTTGTTTTGTGTCAGAAAAAGAAAAGTGAAAAGGTGGGCAATCTGGGAAAGACCATAAAGATCATTTAATTCAGGAATTCTCATTTATGAGGGTCTGGAATACTACAGATTTTATATAAACTATCACATCTCTGTGGCTATGTGGATTGTTTTCTACTAGATTCTCCAGAAGAGCTATAACCCCAAAAGGATAAAGGGTGATGTCTTCATTGCACAGATGAAGAGACTAAGATTGAGATAATACAGAGACTTGCCCGGGGTGGTGTATCCCTCATATCTTCAGTGAAGTTACTTTCAGTTGCACCATAGCTGCTGTCTGCTTTTTCTTACTTGAGATCTAGATCTGCAACTCTTCTGTTTAACCCTCCTACTCACAGTGTATGCTCTAGTCTGCATCACCATCTAATTATTGGAGACCTTTTGTTTTTATTCCTTTATAATTAGGCGTTACCATATTGGCCATACATTTTACCATCTGGACTCTGTCCTCAGCTTAGACTTTCAGACAATTTTACAAGCAGCAATTCTGTTTTTTGAGTTGTCTGTATGGAAATAGTTTTTATGAACCATTTTATTTAGCTGTTTTCTTGTGCTGTGTGTTTTATAAGAACACTTTATGAGTATGACAGCATCCATCATGGCCTAATAAATAATCTTAGTAAGCACAGGACAAAGTGAAATTTTTGCTTCATAATCCTATATAGAAAATAGCACTTTAAAAAGTAGGCATTCAAAATGAATTTAACCTCAAGTGTTTTTATTTTTTGTCTTTCTTTTCCATTTTTTCATAATAAAAAAATTAGGTACAAATTATATTTGTATATGAAGACATTGTGGTGTTATTTTCTTCATTTATAGGGGATATATGTATATGTATACACACATATGAGGAGACTTCAAAAAGTTCATGGAAAAATTTAATTAAAAGATAAAAACAAAAAATATATACTTTATTTCTCAACAAACTCTATCACATTCAAGACTTTTGTAAGTGATGATACAAGCCATTTCATTTATCCCTAAAGAGCTGATGGTCCTAGGAATTTAACCATCTCAATGAAATTTTTTTACATTATTTACTAGAGAGAAATGGGTGCCCTTTACAGATTGTTTAAGATTAGGAAACAAAAAGAAGTCAGAGGATCCAAACCAGAACGGTAAGGTTGATGCCTAATGATTGTCCATCAAAACTCTTACAAAGTTGTCCTTGTTTGGTAATAGTAATGAGCAGTAGCAAGAGCATTGTCATGGTGGAGAAGGACTCTCTGGTAAAGCTTTTCTGGGTGTCTTTCTGATAAAACTTTGGCTAGCTTTCTCAAAACACTCTCGTGATAAGCAGATACTATTGTTCTCTGGCCCTCCAGGAAGTCAATAAGCAAAATGCCTTGAGTGCCCCCAAAAAACTCTTGCCATTACCTTTGCTCTTGACTGGTCCTCTTTTGTTTTAAGTGGACCATGTCTAACTTTTGGTACCCATTGCTTTCATTGTGTTTTGTCTTCAGGATCACACTGGTAAAGCCATGTTTCGCCTCCTGTTACGGGTGTTGAAGAAATGCTTTAAGATCTTGATTCCATTTTTTAAACATTTACATCAAAAGCTCTGCTCTTGTCTGTAACTAATCTAGGTGCAGTGGTTTTAGCACCCATTCTGTGAAAAGCTTGCTCAAGTTTAATTTTTTAGTCAGAATTGTTAAGCTGAACTAGTTGAGCTATCTATGGTGTTAGCTATTGTTTCTGCTGTTAGTTGTTGGTTCTCTTCAATTAGGGCATGAACCAGGTTAATTTTTTCCTCACAAATTGATGTGAATGGTCTATCACTGTGGGCTTCATCTTCAACATCATCTCATCAGTTCTTAAAATTAGTCACTAATTTTTAAACTGCTGGTTTCTTTGGGGCATTGCCTCTATAAACTTTATATGAAGCAGCAATGATTTCACCATTCTTCCACCCAAGCTTCCTCATAAGTTTTGTTTTTGTTCTTGCTTCAGTTTTAGCAGAATTCATGTTTCTCTGATAGGGGCTTTTCATACTTATCCTTCTTAGTTTCTCAAACTAGATTCTGTTTAAACATGTAATAATAAGTTTTTATGAGTTGTAAACTCATATAGAAAAAAACTCATATAGTTTTTTCATTATAATCATTTTTTTATTTTGAGGACCCCAGGTTTATATTAATTTCTAGATGATACATAGATACATTCATTTCTATATATTTTATGTATATTCTTTGAGAGAATGAGAGAGTATTTGTTTACAAATGCTATCTAGAAAATGATAGTATGAGCCGTATCCAAAAAAACTTGATAAAACTCAAAATGTTTACATAATTAGTAATTAATAACAAAAGCTTTGCACTCAGACAATTTCAAATCATGGTTCACTGTTTCATATCTGAATTGTTTTAGTCATGTCACATAATTTCTCTTATTCTCAGCTTCTTCATGTGTAAAATGCAGTGTCTACTTCATGAGGTTGTTGAGAATATTAAATAAGATAGTCTTCATAAAGTAGCACAATGACAGAAATTGAAAATCTCCAGACAAATTAATTATTTTCCTTAATAAGCATTATTATGATCATTGATTAACATTTTTCCTACAAGTGAATGCCGGTTCTTCTAATTCCATATGATCTCTGCGTTCATTCGTCCTTTGTGAAAGAAGTGTTAGAGCATACGATACTAATCTTTAGTGCCAAGAGTACGAATAATCTTTCGACACATTCCATTCTCAGAATGAACTCATTTTTTTCTTTGATCTCAGATGGCAAAATGATTTTTATCTATAGACACAAACTCACACTGGTTGTCGGGGATTATGGGGCCAAGTGGAAAGGACTGAGCTGAGTAGGAGCTGTCTTCATTCTCTCATTGTTGCTATCCAATTCTTGTAGGATCCTCTATTTGAAAAGATGAAACAGCTCTGGCAGCTGAGTAGCTGCTGGTGTTGTTCAGTTTTCCTAGAATAAAACAGTCTCGGTTTTCTTTCTCATTTTTGAATTGCTAACTTTTCTCCTTACATAATTTTTTAGAGACAGATGGGTTTCTATAACTCTGTCTACCAGAAGTTCTGAACATTTTTATCTGGTCTGAAAGTGGCTTCAACTCTGTATCCTTTTCCTGACCTGAGATTCTAGATTTGTTTTTACAAATACTGAAAAAGAGTAACTACTGTACTCCATCAGTCAAGTGTTAATAATGTGTGAAGTAGATGGAATTTGCTTTAGAGAATATTCTGAAGTTTGTTCATATTTTTACTCCTGTCTACTGATTATTATCTTGTGTCTTATCCTTGGCTGATTGTTATGAGCTAGTATTTAATGATTCATACCTTTCTGCCATATTTCAATTCCCATTTTAATGGTATCTGATATCCCAAGGTAATGCATCCCTAATGGTGACATAAGAAAAGTGGGAGGCAGTGGCTAATGGAAATAAACTACTTTTAATTCACCTGAAATTATATATTGTGAGCAATTAACATGTCTAACTAATCATGCCACGAGTTCTTTCACGCTTCATAAGAAATTAGCTGTTTTATTACAACCACCTGGATGCAGTACTGCATAATAGCTGAGGCAAACTGGAATACTAAGATGCATTTGTGTGCCTTTGTGCAGGCTACTTAATGTCTCTTGGCCTCAGTTTCCCTATCTTTAAAACAGAGATAAAAAATTCTCCTAATAATACTGTTGATAGGATTTAATCAAGATTATATACAGTTATCCCTTGTTATGTGCAGGGGATTGGTGCCAGGATCCCTGTGGATACCAAAATCAGTGGATGCTCAAGTCCCTTATATGAAATGACATAGTATTTGCATATAAGCTATGCATTTCTTCCCTATACTTTTAATCATCACTAATGGACTTATAATGACTAATACAATGTAAATGCTGTGTATTTACAATGTAAATGCTGTGTACACAATTACAATTGTGTACAGTTGTTATACTGTATTTTTATTTGTATTATTTGTATTGTTATGTTTTTCTTAAATACTTTTGGTTCACCATTGGCTAAATCTGATGATGCAGAACCGTGGATACAGAGAACTGGCTGTACATCACATATCACAGTGTTTGCAATAATGTATCAAGCTCTCAAAATGGAACCATACGGCAACATATTGTAACTATCTTGTATTAATGATGAGAAGATAATGATCCTGAGTTTTGGTGACTTGCGTAACTTAACATGATGAGTTAGTTAAAAAGAAATGGACTGGAATCTAGGTATTGTCAATTTCAGGTCAAAAATATTTCATTGACAATGAGTAACCCCTCAAATTAATTAGAAAGTGTATTTTTCAGGCACTCTTTATATTAACTTAATGCTAAGGGCTCACAAAAATAAATAATAGATTTCAAGATTATGATTTGCAGAAACTGATTAGAAAAACTTCTGCAGCACTAAAATAAGCTTCTTTTTTATTCCTTTGCAAGTGTATTTGTTTTACATTTAGTATTTTTTATTGTTTTGTTAGGAACACAGCTCAAATTGTCAATAAATGAGCCATTGTTTTAAGATTTTTTCCTCTTCTCTCTCTCACATTGTTTTTCCTTCCCCTCTTGGTATATATTTTGTGCCCCAGTCCTGGTAATATTTTTTTTTTGTTTATTTGTTTTACATTTGTTTTCCTTATAAAGACACAATTTTAAAGACTCATAATATATATCCTTTCTAGTGATCAAAAATCAATTTATAATTTTCCTTTGGAATAAGCACTTTTTATGAAATTTGACACTACTAAACACACCCTTCAGTTTATTAAATTATCCTAAATAATGAACCAGAAATATTTAACAATGCAATGATATTTAGAAAATTTATCTTGTTTAGCCTGAAACAAAACAAATGTAGCCATGTTTAGCACATTTCTCCCTCATTACCTTTCTGCCATTTGTTTTGTGTGATTGCCTCAACATTAAGTTTCATCAATTTTATTAGTATTACTATGATAATGTTGGTATATGTTATTTTATTTTGGAGAGCTTATTTAAAGACATTATTTTCTACTTACTATTCATTTTTTGTTCATTAATTTTTGTTATTGAGGTGTTTTAGGAGGTGGGTGCCTTCTGTATTCAGATTAGACCCATGTGGAACTTTCTAGATCTGTCTTCCTTACTTCATTTAGTTTTATCATCCTTTTCCAAGTACTTTTTCCTTACAATTTTGATTTGTTTTCTTAATTGTTCTAGATACTTATTTTAACTATTCTTTTTCCTTAATTGTATTTTAATGGTTGCATTTCATAAAAATATCTTCTGCTTTTATGATTTTGTTTCTTTTTCTTTTCAGTATTATCCTGGATGTGCTTTAGGGATGCAGTATATTACCAAATCACTTTAACACAAAAATTTGAATTTTTGAAAATGTTTAAAATATTTTTCTATTTATAAATGATTAATATTGTAGTAGAAATAGAAAACTAGAATAATAGCATAGTGCCTTATAAGTCGGTGAGTGAAATGATTAATATCAGAAAGGGGGCTTGAATAGACAGTGAAGTTGTAGAATAGCTCTGGAAGAGAATGGAAGATGTAGTACAACAAGAACACAAGAAAGGATTGATAAGGAGCAAAAGACTTTCCTTGAATTGATGACGATGTATTGCAAATGTTATCAATCCGTGTCTCAACTTTACTGGGAAATAGAGTTTGCTACAATGATGTCTTCACATTTAATAGCAAACAGTTTGAGAAATGCAATACATTTATCATAGCATGGCTGTACGTTTTATCTAAACATTTCCAATACCAACGGATAGTTTCATAAAAACAGGGTCCCTCTTGCCACGAGAAGTAAATTTCAGGTAACAAATACAATGCGCTTTATTTATGTAAGAATCTATTTTTATATTTATTTGCTTCTTGTCAATTTAAACTTCTAACTATGGCTTTGCAAGTTACATGAATTTCAGTGTGATATTTTTCAAACTCTACGACCTGATATTTTTTATTATGACTTTTTTAACCATTAATTAACTAGTTCCATGCATTTTCGGTGATATTCTTATGAATGTCCTCAAAAGAGAGATTGCTATGTGTTATGTTTAACACTGCATAACACACCACTCCAGATCTCAATGGCTTGAAACAATAAGCGTTTGCTTGGCTTGCAGATCTGATTGAGAGTTGGTGATTTACGTCAGTCTTAATTGGTTGGTTCTTCTTGTTTCCATGTGGAAACTAGAAGTTGTTGGCAGTAGTAGTTGTAGTTGGCAGTTTTCAGCTAGGGCAAGGACAGGGCTTTCTATCTCTTATCTTTCAGTAAACTAATATGCATATGATCTTAATTTTTCACAATAATGAGAGGAGAAAATAACAAGCCCAATTGTACAAGCCTCTGCTTAATCACATTTGGTAACATCCCTTTAGCCAAAGCAAGTCTTATGGCTAAACTCAGAATTAAAGGGCAGGTGAATAGCAACTCTCTATGGGAGGAACTGTGAAGTTGTAGTGCAAAGATTGTGAATACAGGCAGGACTCTTACTGCAATCTATATGCAGAATGAACTTACCATTGATTGGTGATATATGTATGAATTGTAATTTTAAATGAAATACTTTGACTTCTCATTTCTAGGTAGAAGTATCTTTTGTATGATAATTTAATATCTATGTCTGAAAAGGCCTATTTTGATCTTTCTTCCTGAGTGTCTATGTTGTGTGTTGTGTGTATGTGTGTGCATTTAGCATCTGCTTTAACCTAGGCATGTATTGCAGGCTCTGGGGGAATGCCAAGGATATTTCCAAGAAGGTATCTAGTATAAGGAGTGTCAAAAGCAAATAGTGGAGAGAAGGATTGGAGCATAGTGTGAGATCTGTCTTCACGATCGGTAGATTGGTGATCCTCTAAGAATTCTGTTGAAGTTTAACTGTGTTTTCTTTTTCCTTGTCTTAAATTGTATAAATTGCATTTGAAATAAAATGCTCAGGTTTGGCTGGCACAGTGGTTCATTCCTCTAATTCTAGCACTTTGGGAGGAACAGGTGGAAGGATCACCTGAGCCTAGGAGTTCAAGACCACCCTGGGCAACACAGTGAGATCCTGTCTCTACAATTTCTTTTTTTTTTTTAATTACCTGGGCATGGTGGTTAGTGCCTATAGTCCCAGGTGCTCGGGAGGTTGAGGCAGGAGGATCACTTGATCCCAGGAGATCGAGGCTGCAGTGAGTTGTGATTGCACCACTGCACTCTAGCCTGAGTGACAGAGTGAGACCCTGTCTTCCCTTGCTGTCCCCACCCACCTCCCCAAAATGCTCAAGCCTTGCAATATCATGCTTTGGAAACAGCACTGTCAGCGAATTAATCTCATTCTTTCTTAATTTGTTTGTTTATTTCCCATGACAAATTACCAGGGCTCATAGGTCTACAATTCAGGGTTTCCAGGGTTCCGCTTGCACCATAATTGTTATCATTCAAAAACATCTTGGAATGTGTATTCTCATTTTTTTTTCCAAAATTAGATACCTGCAGGCAACGATAGGCAAAGAGTCTCACACCTTATTTTGTTTGCCTTTCCTACTTCTACTTCTATACCCGTAGAAAGTGATATACTACCCATGATTGGTAGGGTTCATGGATCACAAATGCAGAATCTGAAAGGGAAGTTTTGACATTGCTGATTATGGGAGTTAAGATTAGAGACTACATGGGAGTTACATTTGTGTGTGAGGTTTCTCCCATGCCAATGCATGCTGCATTTGGAATCTCACAGGTGACCTAGGCAAGTTTTGCTCTAGACCTTTGGCTAGCTTTTCTTATTTTATTTCCTGCATTTTTGAGCAGGATTTTTTTTTTTTTACTAGTTTCGCCTTACTCTTCCATCTGTTTGGTAAAATCTAAAGGCAGAATAAAAGCTTAGGTTAAAGTAGTCAAAGAATGTCATTTATCCTATGTGGTTTCTGTCTATTAGGACTAAATCTAGCCTAGACAAATTGAGACCGCTGGCACTCAAGAATCTGTCAGTTCCCTTTTCCAGTTACATATTACAAATGTTAATTGGTACTCATTTGGGTCAAGACTTACAGTTTCATTCATCAAGTAAATCAGGCACCATTAACAAATATGTGATAAAATAGTATAATAATAGGCTCACCTGAGCTTATCAACATATGTTTTTGAGCCATTAATACATTTGTAACTTGAAATTAAAATATCCAAATGTAGTTTCCATGAGGAAATAAAATCAAAAATTTTCAAATCATCACAGACAAATTTGTTAAAGGTCACTGATGATGAATGATCTTATAACTCTTAGTTTTGGTGTAAATGTTAAAATTTTGAAAGAAACATTGCAAGACACAGCTGTGATGTGCAGCATCTCTCAGGGTTATTCATAATCCTGCTAACTGTAAAATGGTGACAGTGAACTTTCCATAATATTTTTCTATGCGTATATTTTTTCAGTATTTCATAAATGGCTTGTTACGTGTACAATTCTGAGTTATTTACATAAGATTTCTGTCCTTTTGGCTAAAATTACTACCATTGTGGTGATTATAGTTTCTGTAATCAGCAAGTAATCAGTAAGTAAACATTCTACTTTACTATAGTGTCAGTAGCTCAATTTTTTTTCCATTTGCAGGAAAGTAAATATTTTCAGTTTTGTATTCTTAAAGTTCCAACTAGACTGCTGTCAAGCTTACATATCTCAGGGAAGCAAACTTAACCTCAAATAAATGTAAAATGTACATTAAAAAATAAAATGTGTAGGGCCATTTAGATTTCAACATATGCAGTATAGTATTTTTCAATTTACTTTTTATTTTAATAAAACAACTTACATATGTACGTACTTTAAGGTGTCAAATGGTTCTATTAGTTTTGCTACAAAAACAGCCATTTCCTATGTTCTTTCCCAGCCCAGTTCCTGTTGCACAGATGCAACCACTTGCAACTATATTTCCTGATTCTTTTAAGATCTCTCTATATCTCTAAATAACATGGTTATACTACAGTGTCTTGATTTTTTTATTAATAGGCTTTATTTATTGGCTTCCCACTATGGAAGATGAGAATTTAGCTTTCATTTTCCAGCCCTTATCACACATATCTCCACTTTTGTGCTCTCATCGTCTTGAAATAGTGTATCATAATTTTGATCTAATGAATATTCATGTTTATTATATTATGACTAAATGATAGCATTTACAGCTCAGTCATGTACTCTACAAGGATTGTTTTATATTTCTTTCAATATTTTGTTTTCTCTAGCATTATTAAAGACATATTTTCACTTGCTTAGGTTTTTTTTTGACCTAACACTAATTCAGTGCCTCCCAGTTGCATGTGTCTCTTAATAGTTCAAATAATTTTATATAATTCATCAATTTTATTGTTTTCAAGAAATCTCTCCCAGAGCCCTCTGATAAAATCCCACCAACTGAAAGAACTGAGGGAGTTATCTTCTAACTCCAATACTATTGGTGGGTTCTGCAATGGGAACCTTCAAAAGCTTGCTTGTTATGTGCTCACGGCAGTCAAGGGCATCTGTAGACTAATGACTTACCCTTGAGAAAGCAAAAACAGCCTCTTCTGGTGGACTACTGGGGTATTAGCTGTCCACTCTTCAATGGCAGGGTGAGGAATGCAAGTCACATGTTGACCACATGTGGGCCATGCAAGAGGAAGGAATATTCAAGTATTATTTATCCAAGGGTCTATTGTAATCCAAAATATAGCTTGTATAACATGGTATGATAGATATTAGGGGAGGGTGTTTGTTTGCTTTATTTTAATTTTGTATAATTATTTTAAAGTAGCAGGTCTGAGAGATAATAATCCACCTGTCGCCTGCCTACTTCTAAGGCTGTATTACAAGTGGCAGCTCTGTTCCCACAATCCACAGGAAAAAGATTCATTACCTCAGGACAATTTGAATCTTAGGTAGTCAAAATAAAGATTGACCGAGTGATTTGCCCCTGCTCCCATCCCTCGTCTCTGTATCTCTACTGTATGTGGGGAAGATGGAAGAGTCACTTGACTACGTAAGAATGTTTTGTATAAGCATACCTGTGTTTCATTTCCAAAGGTCATTTTAACATTTACTTAGGGGGACTTGTTCTTTTCCCAACAGTGAGTGAAGCTTTGGCAGGACCATGTCTCTGAATGTCTCATTGGAAGGGTTTCATCACTGTCCCTGAAAGCCTCCTTCATCAAGATTTTTTGAATGTTGTATTTCCTGAGTTGACTCTGATTTTCTAATCTTTGCTTTTCTGATTTACATGTCTGTTTGGTTCTATATTCCGAGTAAGTAGCTTGCGTTTGTCTTCCAACTCTTCAAATTATTGTTGCATTTGTGCTTTATCATTAAATGCCAAGAATTCCTTTTATAATTGATGTACTTTTGAGCTGGTCAGTTTTTATTAAAAAAAAAATTTAGAAACTTCTGCTCAGATAATCTGTGCTTTAGATGATTATAACATGTCATTAATAATTTTCTGATTTTTATGCTTGTATTGGCCTTAAAGATAATGTCCATGTTATAGAAAATACAAATTGAGTGTTCAGGAATAAAGGCCTAACACATCTTCAATGTTCTATGAAATGGTTCAATAAAAAATAATATTCTGTTCTTACAACTTTTCTGTAAATTTGAAATTATTTTAAAGAAAAAAATAGACAGCAAAATAAATGTATACTTTACAGCAAGCAATGGGTCACAAGAAGCTGGGATCTGAAGTAAAATTTTTATTTTTGTGGGTTTTTGCTTCAGTAACTGAATTTCTATGAAATAGAAAGAGATAGAGAGTATTCTTAGTAGAGCTTTCTGGGAGTTGCTGTTTCTTTGTGTTTTATTATTTCATGGTGTGTTAAAAAATGTAAAGGAGGTAGGAGTATAGAGAACCTCCTCTATTAGTCATTTGAATATGAAAGTTGGAGTTAATCACCACTATTGGGTTAAAGCATCAGCTTTTTTATTTGAAATGCATGGGAAGCCCTAGCCTATACTAGTTTCCAGTAAGGTATAGATACTAATACATGTTTGCTGAATTAATGAATATTTTATATAAAACCCTTAGCACAGTATCTTATTCCTTCAAAATATTAAATAATGGTAGATGATAGTGTTATTATTAAAAGATAATGACAACATGCTCAAGTTATTAGTAAATATGCTCTATAATGAGATGCTTAATTGGATTAGAAAATCTGATTTAATATATGAAGTTGAATCATGATTTTTTTCAATTAATTAACTTATAAAATGAAGTAGGCAGTAACTCAACTATAATCTTTGTGGCAATGACTTTTCCTTATTCAATTGTTTTCCATCCTAGCACCTAGGATTGTACCTGGCATATGAAAGATACTCAGTAGATATTTATTCAATGAAGAATTGCAATGTAAAGGGGTGTGTGCATGTGTGTATGTGAGCACACATACATGTGTGTGCAGTACTTATCTAGCCAGGAGGAGACAAAGCCTGGGAAAAAGTCTTATAAGCTCCTTTTAGTCCACTAATCTGAAGTCATATCTTTAACTGAAAGATATTATTAAACTACTTGAACATTTTAAGTGTCTTTTATGGTCACTAGGCACCCAGAACCCCACCTGATCAATATTGTTGGTATTAATAGATGACCAAAGAGAATTTAAATCATTTTACTAGGATTTGAATAATCCAAAACAAACAAAGTCACTGAAAATAAGGTGTTTAGATCCTCTAGATTATTACCAGGCAATATGTGATTCTCCTTTATTTGGGGTGTTTATTTTGGAAATTATTGATACACAGGGGTTTGCAGATTCCAGACAGTGTTGTTGACAATGTCCTTCATGACCAACAAAAGCGATGGACTTGCCGCTGTTGAGCTCTGAGAAGATCAGAGAGCCCAAGATGAGGTTCCAGCCACACCCTTATGTGTTCTGTTGAGTATACAGGCTAGACTGAACAAAGGAAGCAGCAGACAAGTCTGTTGATCCCACAGGGTAATATTTCACTTGCCATTAGTTTCATTTCCTTCTTTTAAAATTACTATTCATTTATTTGTTTGTTTTCTCTTTCTAAAATATCTCCAAGGCTAGAGAGAACCCAAAGTAATTAAATTAATAACTAATCATTTTATTTTTCATTATTTTATCTGAATTGAATTTGTTAGAATATTCCTGCTAAGCAATTAGCACTGACAGTTGGCTTTACTCCTTTCACTTGGACACATTGTGTAAAAGCTTTTCTGAAAAGACTTGGTTGTGGTTGATTGTTCACAGTTTTAAGGACAGAATTATTTAGCTGGATTGTTTAGGACTAGGGCAAATTATAGGTTTGAGAATACTGTCCATTTATGACAGTTCTTTATGGTACCTTGTGATATACTTCACTAAAGACATTTTAGTTTTTCTATAAAATATTCATTTTGATAAAATAACATATCAGCTTTTCAAATTTCCAGTTATGTGTATGATAATCAGTAAATCTCATAACCTCCATTTTTGCATATTTGCTTTTATTTTTGCATGAAGATAAGCAGACTATAAAATAAATATGAATCCATATTCTTGCAGTATAACAGGAGGGGGTCCTGCTATCATGAACTATTTTCTCTCTTGATTTCATTTTTTGTATACATTTTTTTCCAGCATTTTAACATGTCTCTTCTCAACTCATATTGATACTAAACAAATAAATAAAAAGCTATGTCAAAGTTCTTTTTTCCATAAGGAAAAAGAATACCTAAAAATAAATGCATAAACCGAACACTAGATTTTGCTGTAGCTATTTTTCAAAATGAAGTAGTTATACTAACTTAATGGCTTTAATAAACTAGTTTTTTGGAGGGTTGTTTCTACATTTAATCATAGAATCTAGTCTGAGTTCTCCCCACTTGAAAAATACCAATCCTCTTGACTCCCATTTTTCTCTTTATAGAGACATTTGATGCTTTTGAAATGAAATACAAGCATTTTTTAAATAGAGGAAAGCCTGTCTATTCATTCAGAAAGTCTGAGTGACAGGGAGAGGCTAATACACTTTTCCAGGCTATCTACCTGAGTCTAATTTCACAAGCCATCAACACTTTGAAAGGGGAAATTAATTTGAATGTCTGTCTTATTCTAGAAAGTGGGATGAAGTATTGATAAATATTGTTGGGTTGCCTTATAAAAGATATTGGTGAAAAATGCATTCATATTGTTATTTTAAAGGAAGAATATCTAGGGAAAGGTGGCAATTTCTTACAATATTTATAAACAATTTAAACTTTTTTCCAACTGTCCTTGAGAAATTACTAAGCCACATTTCTCAAAGCAACATGGTTATACAGAGAGCTCTTTAAAGAACAAAGAGATAAATTAGAATATGTACAAAATATGGAATGAGAAACATGTAACTAAGGTTAAGTATAGAGAGGTACATAATTGTAAAATTAATGTCAGTGATGCTAACACACAGAAAGCTATGCTCTTCCTTGGGTACAATTTCCAAGACCGTAAGCTAGACTCTTAAATATATCCACCAAATAAAAGGAACTTCTCAATGTGTAGTGATTAGTCAATAAATGATAAAGATAAAATATAAACTGTGAAAATAAATTTTGCTTCTTTTTCTATTCTATTTTTTAAGAATAATAAGACTATTATGAGATAGGCAGACATTAAGATGTTTACATCAGAAGCAACAAATGTAGATTTGGTCTAGGAGTTAAAGAAATCAAATGGTGAAGTCAGGAATCAGTTAATGAGAGATTAACAGGGATCTGTTCTAAACAGACCAATTTCTATTTGAAAATAGTTATAATAAGAAGAGTAATAATAATAATAGTAACATTGACATATTATTAAAAACTAATAACAGCTTGTGAACACATAGACAATTAGAATTGGAACCACAATGTTAAATTATCTGCCAGTCTCCAACACCATGTCAACAATGATGGCAGAGAAGGCAAAACTTGGAGCAGGCTCAGTGATTTGCTTGGGCCAGAGAAACCTCAATGCTTGGCCAGAGGCTGGCACCTCCTCCTCAGGGCAGTCTCTTGTTTTTATATTCATGCCCTTTATAACGACCTGTTTTAACATTTCTGGTGGCCAACCTTCTAGGGCATGACTGGGTTAGGAGAATGCCTAGATTGCCAATGATATGATCTGTTCCTGAGGAAAATAGGTCTCATAGTTAATATGGTAAAAATAAATAAATACATATAGTTCATCTTTGTGCCACAAAAATTATAAATTGTTATGGTTCCTCATAAGCTAAACATAAAAACAATAATGAGAAAAACAAAGCTATATTACTCTTTCAGAAGGCAGGACATTTTTAAAATAAATATCTGAAAATTATAAGTTGGTATCTGAAAATTATGAGTTTCTGAAACTAAACAACTACAAGTTCCAGATATTGTGCCCTAGACATTAAAAAGATATTTCTGGGTCATCTTTATAATCAATGATTACTTTTGCTGTTGAAATAAAATTAATATTATTAAGTATTGTATTAGTTCATCTTCACACTGCTATAAAGAAAGAAAGAGGTTTAATTGACTCACAGTTCCACATGGCTGTAGGGGCCTCAGGAAACTTACAATCGTGGCAGAAGGGGAAGCAGGTGCGTCTTACATGGCAGCAGGTGAGCAAAAGTAAATGTGTGTAGGAGGAAATGTCAAACACTTATAAAACCATTAGACCTTGTAAGAACTCACTCACTATCAGAGAACAGCATGAGGAAAACTGCCCACATGGTCCAATCACCTCCCACCAGGACCTGCCCTTGACACGTGGGGATTATGGGGATTACAGTTTGAGATTAGATTTGGGTAGGGACACAGCTAAACCATATCAAATATGAAGATTGTTTCCTTTACATTCATGTTTTTGGTGATACAGTTCTCCCTTGCTTTATTTTCCAATTGAGGAATCCACAGGAAAGCAGGTTCTGATAGAACGTTCATATTGTACTGCTGAGTGCTATGTCCCAATTGGACCATTGTTAATAAATAAGATGCCTAACATTATGCAGAGCTTGTTTGGCTCATTAATCTTAATAAGGATAGTTAACTACCCCTCCATCATGTACCAAATTCTAGATAATATTCAAAATTCACCAACATTGACTCATTTAATCCTCACATCAACCTTAGAAAGCTTCATTATCATCCCTATTTTAAATATGATAAAACCGAAGTGCAGAGATATTAATAACTTGCCTGATATTTCAAGATAACACAGCTATTAAATAGCAGAGTTATGATTCAAATCTGGGCATTCTGGCTCCAAGATCTGTACTATTAATCATTACTCTATAGTTTGTCTGGTAAAGTAAATCAGTTTTATTATAATCTAAGTTTAAAGACAAATGCAATTGACTATTTTCAATATTTTTTTCATATTAAAAGATCTGGAAGTCATAGCAAAGACTCTATATGCCACATAAATATTGTGTTAAATAATCTAAAATGTATAATCAAATGCATCCTCCTAGTGAGGAAAAAAGCAAATTTTAAATGTTTTTGCCTGAAATTTTCTGTATCTTTAAAAATGTCAACTGATGGTCTATGAGACTGCTAGTTAGAAGTAAGTGTACTTATTTCTGAAACACTTTGCTTTTGCAATGACTTTCAAGGAGGTTCAAGAAAAGTAAATGTCTGAAAATGGCACAATTTTTATAAAGAATGCTTGATTTTGGATATGTGAGATTTCCCTGAAACCTGATAAAGTCACAAATTCAGCAGTTTTTCTCTAATTGGTTTGGATGGGAGGGTTATCAGAAATTTCTTTATTCTGTAGAAGCTTTAAAAATGCAAACTAGTTACAAACTTCCCTTTGTAAGAGGCAAGCACCATATAATCTCAGATGCTAGTGGCAAGTCCAAATCAGACAGAAAGAAGAAAATGCATGAGATTGAATGAAGAAAAAGCCAGAAATATATTTTCAGGATTAGCAGCAGTCTATTGCCTCTTTTCCTCAAACCAGCTCCCTCCCCACCATTGTCATAGACTGGAAGGCAACAATCAATCTGTCCAACAATTGATCCCTCATACTTTGGAATTGGCATGGCAGTTTTCCCATTAGTTGTTTTTATACTGTCACATAAATAGAAATATATCTTCTGTGGCTTTATTGATGCAAATGCTCAATATTTTAAATATATGAAAGAAAGCAAAGGAATAAAATGTAGCTGTCTATAAATTCACAGGTAAAAATATTTACAGAAAGTCAGAAATCCAGACTTTTTTTTTACTTTTATGTTATGACTGAATTGAGAGCCTGATTCTTTTGGAAGGCTGGTTTAGTTATGAATAGAAGGAACTGGCTTCTGCCAGAAAGGAGAAGAGGCTATGATTAGTTTAATCTGCGGGAATAAATTTGTCTCCCTTCTCACTAATATCTTATTTGTTGGCTAACTATCACCTTGAATTTGCTACCATAAGAGATTTTCTCCAGAAAATGACTGGCAACATGTAAATATGTTATCAAATATTCTAAGGACACCGATAATCTCACTAGCAAACAATGCTAACTTTTAATATATGTCCCTTCTGTTTCTAAATACATAGTCAGTTCTTTAACCAAATAAGGCACTTGCACCTACACTCTTATTTCATTTTTCTATTTTTCAGAATGTTTTTTATTTTGATTCTGCGAATGCTCATATTTGCATGACATGATTTGACAAGGCACAAAAGAGAGTGCTTCCCTCCAGAGAAGGTTTGCTTACTGTTCAGTATAATTTGGATAGTGTTTCTTTTTTTTTAGTTTTATTATTATTATACCGTAAGTTTTAGGGTACATGTGCACAATGTGCAGGTTTGTTACATATGTATACGTGTGCCATGTTGGTGTGCTGCACCCATTAACTCATCATTTAGCATTAGGTATATCTCCTAATGCTATCCCTCCCCCCTCCCCCCACCCCACAACAGTCCCTGGAGTGTGATGTTCCCCTTCCTGTGTCCATGTGTTCTCATTGTTCAATTCCCACCTATGAGTGAGAACATGCAGTGTTTGGTTTTTTGTCCTTGCGATAGTTTGCTGAGAATGATGGCTTCCAGCTTCATCCATGTCCCTACAAAGGACATGAACTCATCATTTTTTATGGCTGCATAGTATTCCATGGGGTATATGTGCCACATTTTCTTAATCCAGTCTATCGTTGTTGGACATTTGGGTTGGTTCCAAGTCTTTGCTATTGTGAATAGTGCCACAATAAACATATGTGTGCATGTGTCCTTATGGCAGCATGATTTATAATCCTTTGGGTATATACCCAGTAATGGGATGGCTGGGTCAAATGGTATTTCTAGTTCTGGATCCCTGAGGAATCGCCACACTGACTTCCACAATGGTTGAACTAGTTTATAGTCCCAGCAACAGTGTAAAAGTGTTCCTATTTCTCCACATCCTTTCCAGCACCTGTTGTTTCCTGACTTTTTAATGATTGCCATTCTAACTGGTGTGAGATGGTATCTCATTGTGGTTTTGATTTGCATTTCTCTGATGGCCAGTGATGATGAGCATTTTTTCATGTGTTTTTTGGCTGCATAAATGTCTTCTTTTGAGAAGTGTCTGTTCATGTCCTTTGCCCACTTTTTGACGGGGTTGTATGTTTTTTTCTTGTAAATTTGTTTGAGTTCATTGTAGATTCTGGATATTAGCCCTTTGTCAGATGAGTAGGTTGCGAAAATTTTCTCCCATTTTGTAGGTTGCCTGTTCACTCTGATGGTAGTTTCTTTTGCTGTGCAGAGGCTCTTTAGTTTAATTAGACCCCATTTGTCAATTTTGGCTTCTGTTGCCATTGCTTTTGGTGTTTTAAACATGAAGTCCTTGCCCATGTCTATGTCCTGAATGGTATTGCCTAGGTTTTCTTCTAGGGTTTTTATGGTTTTAGGTCTAACATGTAAGTCTTTAATCCATCTTGAATTAATTTTTGTATGAGGTGTAAGGAAGGGATCCAGTTTCAGCTTTCTCCATAAGGCTAGCCAGTTTTCCCAGCACCATTTATTAAATAGGGAATCGTTTCCCCATTTCTTGTTTTTGTCAGGTTTGTCAAAGATCAGATGGTTGTAGATATGCAGCATTATTTCTGAGAGGCCAACATCATCCTGATACCAAAGCCTGGCAGAGACACAACCAAAAAAGAGAATTTTAGGCCAATATCCTTGATGAACATTGATGCAAAAATCCTCAATAAAATACTGGCAAACCGAATCCAGCAGCACATCAAAAAGCTTATCCACCATGATCAAGTGGGCTTCATACCTGGGATGCAAGGCTGGTTCAACATACACAAATCAATAAATGTAATCCAGCATATAAACAGAAACAAAGACAAAAACCACACGATTATCTCAATAGATGCAGAAAAGGCCTTTGACAAAATTCAACAACCATTCATGCTAAAAACTCTCAATAAATCAGGTATTGATGGGACGTATCTCAAAATAATAAGAGCTATTTATGACAAACCCACAGCCAATATCATACTGAATGGGCAAAAACTAGAAGCATTCCCTTTGAAAACTGGCACAAGACAGGGATGCCCTCTCTCACCACTCCTATTCAACATACTGTTGGAAGTTCTGGCCAGGGCAATCAGGCAGGAGAAAGAAATAAAGGGTATTCAATTAGGAAAAAAGGAAGTCAAATTGTCCCTGTTTGAAGATGACATGATTGTATATTTAGAAAACCCCATCGTCTCAGCCCAAAATCTCCTTAAGCTGATAAGCAAATTCAGCAGTCTCAGGATACAAAATCAATGTGTAAAAATCACAAGCATTCCTATACCCCAATAACCAACAAACGGGGAGCGAAATCATCAGTGAACCCCCATTCACAATTGTGTTAAAGAGACTAAAATACCTAGGAATCCAACTAACAAGGGATGTGAAGGACCTCTTCAAGGAGAACTACAAACCACTGCTCAATGAGATAAAAGAGGTTACAAACAAATGGAAGAACATTCCATGCTCATGGGTAGGAAGAATCAATATTGTGAAAATGGCCATACTGCCCAAGGTAATTTATAGATTCAATGCCATCCCCATCAAGCTACCAATGACTTTCTTCACAGAATTGGAAAAAACTACTTTAAAGTTCATATGGAACCAAAAAAAGAGCCCGCATCACCAAGTCAATCCTAAGCCAAAAGAACAAAGCCGGAGGCATCACGCTACCTGACTTCAAACTATACTACAAGGCTACAGTAACCAAAACAGCATGGTACTGGTACCAAAACAGAGATATAGATCAATGGATAGTGTTTCTATCTGGAGCAAAGCTTATCCCTGTTTACTTGTAGGCAATTACGAAATATTTGGATTCCCTAAACTCTGAGTTCCTGAAGTATGCTACAAAGCTATTGCTCATGCAGCATCCACCTGGGACTCATCATGTCATCTTCTTGAAATTTGGAAGATAAAGGAAACTGACCCAAACATGAAGGTTGTGCTTGCTTTTGTCTTTATTGAAGCAAGCAAAAGTGTCTCTTCTTGACTGCAAACCATGAGAATTTTACTTTATTCCATAAAGTTAAGGCTTTTCTATTCTCAGAAGAAACCAAGTTTGGCTATTAAGCTATGATCTGTATGGACAATGCCCTGCTACAATAGGACTTGAGTTTTCTATCTGAATGAATCAAGTTACATGATACAAAATCACCTCCCAGGAGTGTCCAAGTGAGAGAAAAAACTCATGGGTTCTTGGTTTCTGTTTCTGGTTGGGCCAGTAAGGCCCTTTCCTCATCCTCTTTTCCACTTATCACTAGAGGCAGAAACTAAAAACCATGGCTTCAGTATGCTAAAAGCCTAAAACAAAACAAAGCAGAACAACAATAAAATAAAGTGTGTTGGACAAGCTTCCTACACTATAGTTTGTCTTGCATAATCATAATCAAAGTCCAAACCCAATTTCCTTTGCACGTTGAATTTTTTTTTTTGAGTCACCTAAGGGGAACAGAACTGAGCCAATGACTACTAAGCATTGATTTTGAAGTCTTCTCATAGTACTAAACTGCAATCAGATATGAATTTCACTAGTTTTCGCTTGAATTTAATAAATTTGTTGAGAATATGCTCTATACTGGAGTATAAACTCTATTGTTATTTTCAGTGAACTCGGAGTCTCTTTAGGAGTAACTTAAACAGCATTCAACACACTGGTTTTATTTTATTTATTTATTTTTATTTTAAAAGTCTAAGAAAATGCTGCAGTATCACAGAAGATGCCTAATGAATTATGCATATTTTTGACTGGGAATGATAGTTTGGGTTAGATTTTTGGTAAGAAAGGGGAAAGTCAGGCCAAGAGAATAACCACAAACATATTGGGTTGGTGCAAAAGTAATTGCAGTTTTCATGGCAAAACCACAATTACTTCTTCACCAGCCTAGTAAAAGCAAAGCTATGGAAATTCTCACCCAATTGGAAAATGGTACAGTCTGTACAGCATATGTTTCATAAAGGAAGAGTGGGAGTATAAGACCTAAATGTATATTCAATCTGGATTCGGTAGGCCTTGTATATCATGCCAATGAGTTTTACTGTTACACTGTGGTTAGTGGAAAATTCTTGATGGATTTAAATCAGATTAATGACAAGATTGGTTGTGTGTCAGAGATTATTTTTACAACAGTGTATAGAGCTGACTGAAGGAGGGTATTGTAAAGACTCTGAAAAGAAGCCACTGGGAGAGAGATAACATGCTATGTGTGCTCCTAACATAAAAGACAGCAAGTGCAAAAAATCCTGATAAATGACCTTATCATGTTCAGGTAACAGGGAGAAAGAAGTTCCATATAAATAGAGATAATGGGGGTGGGTGAAGAAAGTATAATAAGAAATAAGGTCTGCGAAATGGGCTAAGATCATATGGGGCTTTCTAGAGCAAAATAAAACTTTTTTATTATTTTATTTTTTTATTATTTTTATTATTTTTTAAAAGATTATTTTCTATGTGGGAGAGAAAGCCACGGGAAGGGTCAGTTCAGGAAATCACATGATGTGATTGATATTTATGAAATACCGTTCTTGCTGTTTTGTGCATAGGAGACAAGAAATCAAACCATGGGTCATTAACAAGTTATTAATTATAGGAATCTGACAGGGCAAGTGAAGCAGATGGGCCAGAAAACTGGAAAGCACATGTTTCATCTGAGAGGATCCGGTACTATTCTCTTACAGCCATTGCTGTCATGGGGACTGTGGTAGTATGGCCTCATCTTCAAATATTTCAAGAACAGTTAGGAATATGAACACAGACTGAATTTGAAAGCTATTGGTTTTTTTTTTATACTGGCAGGTCAACCAAAACACATTTGCGGGCAAGATTGAACGTGTGACTTTCAAATTAGACATCACTGCATTAGATGACTAGGCCAGCTGCCCATCTTATTTATGATGTGTCCCCCTATGCAAGAGAAAGCAAAGCCTTCAGGTACACACCAGCCTGCAAATCTCAGCAGATACCATCTCAATTATAAAAAAGGGACAAATAACATTTAAGCTAAAAAAAAGAGGTTAAATCTTAATACTTTCTCTCCCTAAGGGAAATAACTCACCCTCTCTCTGCAAAACTTCCACATTTTATAGAGAAAGTGTTATGAGAATAGAGTGGCTTTTGTTAAGCTAAAATTGCACTTTGTTAAATTATAATATACCAATAAAGACATTCAAATTAAAAAACAAAATAAATTATAAAAGAAACCCCAAGAAAATGAAAGATAAGTATTAGTACAAGGAGAGCCTTATTTGGATGAAGCACTGGCTATCTCTATGTTCTGTTTTATATAAACATCCTTGGAAAGATTTTTCTGGAACAAAAGGCTAGTTCATGCCTCTGCTCTCAAGAGATACAGAAATGCTAAAGAGCGATGAAGAATTATTTCACAAATATACATAATCAGTAAATATTTGTTTAATCAATGGAGTATTGAAAGGGAATTCTTTAACCCTGATATAGTCATAGTGACTACCTTTGTGTTCTTAATGCTTCAAATACAGGCTGAATATGGCTGGAATACTGCCCAAATGAACTGACCATTTTCCCAGTACTTTCGTAAGTAATTTACAAATCATAAATTTTATCCTAGCAATATATATATATATATACACACATATATATACACATCACTCTTAAAATACTCTCAGTGATTTATCGAATAGTCTGCTCAAGTCTAGCCTGAAGTCAACCTACTTGGATTCTTATGTTGTAAACTCTTTCCAAGGGTTCTCTCTGGGTTGCAGAATCCCATAACATGGGGATACTTATGATTTCTTTTCTCCAAAGAGGAACTACTGTCCCATAAGTTTTAACTAATGTGGCTTGAGGTCTGACTACTCTCAAAGTTTTATGATTGTATTACTTTAAAAGCAAGATAAATAAAAGAAATATTCAAGACACAAGGCAGAGACAATGTATTACAGAGATATTTAGTCTTCAGATGTATATGAGGAAGGACTTAAGGACCACAGTGATCCACCACATTTCTAAAATGTGCATCATTTAAATGGCAATATATTTTATATACATGCAAATAAAATATTTTAAGGCTTAGGAATCAGGTGTATTTGCCCAAAAGGCTTTATAGGGATATCCAATAATTTGAATTGACCTTTTTTGTTATGCAAGTGATTAATAAGTCTATATGTTAAAACATGAGTCAAGGCACTACTTCTGTTCAGTTCTATGAGCTGCTGTTGCTGAGTAGAATTCCCATTGTGACATAATGACTTTAAAAGTTTAAATGATGGACTCATTGACCCCTTCTTCCCCAGTCACTCCTCATTGTAAAAAAAAAATGCTTTCATAAAAAAGCAAATAGTAGGTATAGACAAAAGAAAAGTGACTCCATTGTTATAAACCACTGATATGTGAACCAAATTTAAAACTTTTTATATGTCTTGGATACAATATAAGAAAATGTGCACTATAAATCTTATTCTAATGACTTCTGGTGAGATTTATAAAACTGTTTTTCCTCCAGACAAGTAAAAAGTGCTGAAATACACTTTTTATATACTTTAATCTTTATATTTTTATAGCTGGTTTAAATATAAAAAGTAGAAGCCAAGGTGGGGGCAGGATGGCTGACTAGATGCAGCCAGGTGGAACAGCTCACACTGAGGGAATGAGACGACTTGCATGCTCCTGACAGATCTTCAGAGAGAAGGCACTAAAAGTGGATGGAGAGAAGACACAGAGGCTGGGCTGAAGGGGGAGGAAGCTGGGAGCCCTGCACAGGGCTACTGCACACTGGGACCTGCTCCTGGTTCAGCTCTGGAGGAAAGGGTGAGTTGAACTGGGAAGGAGCAACTTGCTCTTTCCTGAGGCCTCTGAAACACCACCAAGAGGAGACCCCTTGATCACTATGGACACTTGAGTTGGCAGGGAGAGCTGCTTAGAGAAGTGGTAGGGGCAACAAGCCAGCTCATGTAGAGCCAAGAGGGTCTGGTGCAGGAGCTTCTGTAGTGGAGCATGGCCAGGGTCACACATCCCCTTCAACTCAACTTGCTCCCACAAGACACTTTAGCCCAAGGGAACTGTTGGACCTGATCTCTGCAGGGTAGTTTTGCCCATCAGATGGGAGTAGTTTGACCTGAGTAGGCCTTGGTGTCCTGGTCTCTCCTGGGACCCCAGCCTGGCCATGCCTGCTTGTAGGGCAGTGTTGGGTGCCCTGAGGGCCTGCACCATAGCTTCTGGCTGGCAGACCTTGCCCAACCAGCAGAGAGCTCCAGCGAGCTGGCCCCTTTGGCTGTGTACCAGCCTGGCAACTTTTCCCCATACTGCTGCTTATTCCAGGCCCATAGCAACTCCTCACATCACTTTGCTGGCATCTGTCTACATAGGTGGGTTTTGATTTCCTCACCAGCATGCAGGAGTACAGTCCCGTTCTCTCTCCCCACTAACCACCATTGCATATAGAGCCTTGGCAGACACAGAGTCAACCAGCCCTTCCCCTGCAGGCAACTTGCCCTTGTGCTAACACTGTGCAGAGAACAGCAGATCCTCCCCCACACTGAGTGACCACTCCTGCTTGCAGAACAAAGAGAAGGTACACAGACCTGCACCTGCCAGCACTTTGCTCCAGAGCCAATACCACCTCCAGTGTGATCACATGCACAGTCACCAGCAGACCACCCTCCCAAGCTATAAGGCTTCCACCACTGTGGTGAATGCTGGAAGGAGCAGGCACCCAGGCTCTGCTAGCACTCTCCTGATGCATTTCAGTCCCTCCAGTGCAGTAGAGTCCTAAACTTGAGGAGACAGAGAACAAAAGTGGTGCCCAATCCAAGTCCCCAAGAGTTAGAGCATGCAGTCCAGGATTTGGAAACTGAGAATTGTCCCCCTAAAATCTTCCAAAAACAAAGCCAGATGGCTGAATGCACCTTATACCATGACCAAACCCTCAAAGTTAATAGGACAAAAGGGGAATCAAAACAATCCGAAGGTCAGAAACCTCAAAGCTTGAAGGCAGATAATCCCACAAAGGTGAGAAAGAATCAGCACAAGGACCCTGAAAACTCAAAAAGCCAGAGTGCCTTTTTTTCTCCAAATGACTGCATCAATTCTCCAGCAAGGGTTCTGAACAGATATGAGATGACTGAAATGACAGAAATAGAATTCAGAATATGGATAGGAAAGAAGATAATTGAGCCACAGGAGGATGTTGAAGCTCAATCCAAGAAAGCTAAATATTATGATAAAAAATGCAGGAACTGACACACAAAATAACCACTATAGAAAAGAATGTAACTGACTTAATAGAAAAACACATTACAAGTATTTCATAATGCAATCACAAGTATTAATAGCAGAATAGACCAAATGGAGGAAGGAACCTAGAGCTTGAAGACTGGCTTTCTGAAATACAAGAGTCAAATAAAATAATGCAAAGGAATGAACCAAAGCTCTAAAAAATATGGAATTATGCAGAGGCCAAATCTATGACTCATTTATGTCCCTAAAAGAGATGGGATGATTGAACTAATATGGAAACTATATTCTAAGATATCATCCATGAGAACTTCCCCAACCTAGATAGAGGGACCAATATTCAAATTCATGAAATGAAGAGAACCCCAGTAAGATACTTGATGAGAATGTCATCCCAAGACACATAATCATCAGATTATCCAAGGTCGAAATGAAGGAAAAAATGTTAAAGGCAGCTAGAGAGAGAGGTTAGATTATGTTCAAAGGGAAGACAATTAGACTAACAGCAGACCTCTCAACAGAAACCCTACAGACTAGAAGAGATTGGGGGCCAATATTCAACCTTCTCAAAGAAGATAATTTCCAACCCAAAATTTCTTATCTGGCCAAAGCTTTATAAGCAAAGGATAAATAAGATTCTTTACAGACAAGCAAAAGCTGGGGAAATTTGTTACCACCAGGCCTGCCTTGCAAGAGCTCCTGAAGGAAGCATGAAATATGGAAAGCAAAAAACATTACCAGCCATGACAAAAACACACTGAAGTACACAGAACAGGGACACTATAAAGCAACCACATAAGCAAGCCTGCGAAACATCATAATAACAGAATCACATCCACACGTCAATACTAACTTTAAATGTAAATGGGATAAATGCCCAAATTAAAAGGCACAGAGTGGAAAGCTGGATAAAGAACCAAAACCCAATGGTATGCCATCTTCAAGAGACCCATCTCACATGCAATGACACACACAGTCTCAAAATAATGGAATGGAGATAATTTACCAAGCAAATGGAAAACACACACAAAAAAAGCAGGGTTTGCAATCCTAAGTTCAGACACAACAGACTTAAACCAACAAATACCAAAAAAGACAAAAAGGGGTATTATATAAATGTAAATGGTTCAATTCAACAAGAAGATCTAACTATCCTAAATATATATGCACCCAACACAAGAGCAACCCAGATTCATAAAACAAGTTCTTAGAAAACTTCAAAGAGACTTAGACTCCCACACAGTAATAGTTGGAAACTTTAACACCCCACTGACAATATTAAACAGATCATCATGAAAGAAAATTAACAAAGATTTACAGGACATTAATTCAGCACAAGATCAAACGGCCCTTAGAGATATCTACAGAACTCTCCACCAAAAAACAACAGAGTATACATTATTCTTATTGCCACGTGACATGTACTCTAAAATTGATAACATAATCAGAAATAAAACACTCCTCAGCAAATGCAAAAAAACTGAAATCATAATAAACAATCCCTCTGACCACAGCATAATCAAATTAGAAATCAAGACTAAGAAATTTACTCAAAACCATACAATTACATGGAAATCAAGTAACCTCCAGAATGACATTTAGGTAAATAATGAAATTAAGGCAAGAATCAAGTAGTTCTTTGAAACTAATGAGAACAAAGATACAACACGCTGGAATCTCTGGGACACAGCTAATGCAGTGTTAACAGGGAAATTTGTAGCACTAAATGCCCACATTAACAAGTTAGAAAGGTCTCAAGTTAACAACCTAACTTCACAACTAAGAGAACTAGACAACCAAGAAAAAATAAATCCCAACGATAGGAGAAGACAAGAAATAGCCAAAATCAGAGCTGAACTGAAGGAGATTGAGTCACTAAATAAAGAATCAAAAGATCAACAAATCCAGGAGCTGTTTCTCTGAAAAAATAAAATAGACTGCTAGCTAGACTAATACAGGAGAGAAGACTCAATAAACACAATCAGAAATGACAAGTAGGGTATTACCACTGACCCCACCGAAATACAAATAATAATCAGAGTATATTATAAACACCTCTATGCACATAAAATATAAATTCTAGAAGAAATGGATAAATTCCTGGACACATACACCCTCTCAAGATCGAACCAGGAAGAAATTGAACCCCTGTACAGACCAATAACAAGTTCTGAAATTGAGGCAGTAATGAATAGCCTACCAACCAAAAAAGGCCCAGGATACAGTGGATTCACAGCTGAATTGTACCAGATGCACAAATAAAATCTGGTACCATTTCTGCTGAAACTATTTTAAAAAATTGAGGAGGAGGGATTCTACCCTGACTCATTCTGTGAGGCCAGCATCTTCTTGATATCAAAATCTGGCAGAAACACAAAAACAACAACAACAAAAAACTTAAGCCTGTATCCTTGATGAATATCAGTTCAAAAATCCTTAACAAATATTGACAAACTGAATCCAGCAGCACGTCAAAAAGCTTATCCACCACAATCAAGTTGGCTTCATTCCCGGGATTCAAGGCTGGTTCAACATATGCAAATCAATAAATGTAATTCATCCCAATCAAACTGAGGACAAAAACACATGATTATTTCAATAGATGCATTAAAGGCTTTCAGTAAAATTCAAAACTCCTTCATGTTAAAAACTCTCAATAAACCAGGTATTGAAGGAACATACTTTGATATAATAAGTGTCTTCTATTGACAAACTCACAGCCAACCTCACACTGAATAGGCAAAATCTGGAAGCATTCCCCCTAAAGACTGGCACAAGACAATGGTGGTCTCTCCTTTTTAACATAATATTGGAAGTTTTGGCCAGGGCAGTTGGGCAAATGAATGAAATAAAACGTATTCGAATAGAAAATGAGAAAGTAAAACTATGCCTGCTTGCAGATTACATTATTCTATATCTAGAAAACCGCATATTCTGAGCCCAAAAGCTTGATAAGCTGATAAACAGCTTCAGCAAAGTCTCAGGACACAAAGTCAATATGCAAAACTCACTAACATTCCTATACACCAACAACAGTCAAGCTAGAGCCAAATCAGGAATGCAATCCCATTCACCATTGCCACAAAAATACCTAGGAATAAAATACCTAGGAATAAAGCTAACCAGGGAGGTAAAAGATCTCCACAAGGAGAACTATAAAACACTGCTCAAAGAAATCAGTGATGACACAAATGGAACAACATTCCAGGCTCATGGATAGGAAGAATCAATTGTGAAAATGGCCATACTACCCAAAGCAATACATAGATTTAATGCTATTCCTATGAAACTACTATTGCCATTCTTCACAGAACTAGAAAAATATATTTTAAAATTCAAATGCACCCAAAAAAGAGCCATAATAACAAAGGCAATCTTAAGCAAAAACAATAAAGATGGAGCATCATGCTACCCAACTTCAAACTATACTGCAGGACTATAGTAACCAAACAAAATGGTACTGGTTTAAAAACAGACACACAGCCCAATGGAACAGAATAGAGAATACAGAAATAAGATTGCATGCCTACAACTATCTGATCTTCGACAAACTTGACAAAAACAAACAATTGGAAAAGGATTCCCTATTAAATAAATGATGCTGGGATAACTGGCTAGCCATATGTAGAAAACTGAAACTGGACCTTTTCCTTACACCATACATAAAAATGAACTCAAGATGGATTAAAGACTTGAATGTAAAACATAAAGCTCTAAAAAACCCTGAAAGACCTAGGCAATACCATTATGGACCCAGGAAAAGGCAAAGATTTCATGATGAAGCTGCCAAAAGCAATTGCTACAAAAGCAAAAATTGACAAATGATAAGCACTAGGATATATAAATATTTCTATTTAAAGTAAAGAGCTTCTGCACAGCAAAGGATACTATCAATGGAGTAAACAGACAGCCCACAAAATGAGAGAAAATTTTTGCAACTACGTATCTGACAAAGGTCTAATACACAGCATTTATAAGGAACTTAAACAGGTTGACAAGAAAAAAATGAAACAACCACATTAAAAAGTGTGCAAAGGGCATAAACAGGCACTTTTCAAAAGAAGACATATATACGGCCAACAATCATGTGAAGAAAAGCTCAGCATCACTGATCATTAGACAAATGCAAATCAAAACCACAATGAGATACCATTTCATACCAGTCAGAATGGCTATTACTAAAAAGTCAAAAAATAACAGATGTTGGTGAGATTGCAGAGAAAAAGGAATGCTTATACACTGTTGGTGAGAGGGTAAATTAGTTCAACCATGTGGAAGACAGTGTGGCAATTCCTCAAAGAGCTGAAAACAGAACTACCGTTTGACCCAGCAATCCCATTACTGGGTATATACCCAGAGGAATATAAATTGTTCTATTATAAAGCCACATGTATGCACACGTTCATTACAGCACTATTCAGAATAGCAAAGACATGAAATCAATCTAAATGGCCACCGATTATATCATGACCTTTGAAAGAATATGGACGGAACTGGAGGCCATTATCCTTAGAACACTAATGTAGGAACAGAAAACCAAATACCCCATGTTCTCACCTATAAGTAGGAGCTAAATGATGAAAACACATGGACACATAGAGAGAAACAACACACACTGGGGCTTATTGCAGGGTAGAGGGTAAAAGGAGGGAGAGGATCAGGAAAAATAACTAATGGGTTCTAGGCTTAATACCTGAGTGGCAAAATAATCTGTACAATGAACCCCCATGACACAAGTTTAACTATCTATGTAACAAACCTGCACATGTACCCATGAACTTAAAATAAAAGTTAGAAAAATAATGAAAATACAAAGCAGAACTATTTAGATAAAGATTTAAATAATGTAAAAATGAATTATTAGGATTGGAAACAATGTTACATAAAAACAGGAATTTTTTTATTAAGCAATATTTAATTTGAGTTAATTGTGAAAGTTTTACAGTAAGCAATGAAGATTGATTAAACTTGTAAGACATTATTTATTTTCATGTTTCTAACAGATCTCAACAGAAACTTTCAAAAAATTGTGTATATTTTTACGTCACAAACATATAAAGATACCTAAAGCTGGATATTCTTAATCAACTTTATTGAATTACAACTTACAATAAAAGGATCATGTTTTAAACATGTTATTAGTTGAGTTTGAAAAACATGTATTCTGAATTCTTTCTCCAGCATGACCAAGGACCAGGGTATATACACCAGACAACAGAGCCGTTTCATTTTGGGGGCTCGTTTGGGATCAGAATCAGAATGGAAGGTAGAAACATCAGAGTGGTGAGTATGGAGTGAACTTCAAATTTGTCCTTTAATCTCAAGGCTTTATTCAAACCAGTTTCCTTTCATGGAATTCCTAGCCATTGTGTTAGGCTGTGAGAAGTCCTCCAGCAAATGAGAATTTCTGGCCAGGGCACACCCTGGTGTTTTTCAAAGGAGTCTGGACTGAACCCAGCCTCCGTCAGCCATCTGGGTGTTGGTAATGGATCTCCAGCTATCCTGTCACAAAATTTTTCTTCCTTTTCTCTCTGTGGTCACTTGTCTCTTATTCTCTGTGTGTGTGCAATGTGCAAAAATTTTTACAGTTGAGGCAAACAGTTCTTTTAGGAAAGATAGGCAATCGCCACAGGCAGTAACCCAATAAGCATCTCTCTCTATCCTCTCTCTGGTGAGTACATGGTATTTCTAAGCCAACATAACCATCTAGTGGAAATAGAAATCCTCTTCATGAGGCACATTGTCAGTCTGGTAACACTGCAGTTCTCTAATCCTCTTTTTTCGTGCTGCTGGAAAAGATCCTTCTGTGAACAGGAAAGCTCTGCCATCAACAATTAGGAGTAAAATGTCCTCCATGACCAGATTTTAGATCTGATACTGTCTCATTGTGTATGGAATTTATTCCTTCCAGTGGGTTCTTGGTCTCACTGACTTCAAGAATGAAGCCATTGACCCTTACAGTGAGTGTTACAGCTCTTAAAGATGGTGTGGCTGGAGTTTGTTCCTTCAGATGTTCAGATGTGTCCAGAGTTTCTTTTTTCTGGTGGGTTTGTGGTCTTGCTGACTCCAGGAGTGAAGCCACATATCTTCGCAGTGAGCGTTACAGATCTTAAAAGTTGGTACATCTGGAGTTGTTTGTTCCTCCCGGTGGGTTTATGCTCTTGCTCACTTCAGGATTGAAGCCACAGACCCTCGCAGTGAGTGTTACAGCTCATGAAGGTAGTGTGGACCCAAAGAGTGAGCAGCAGCAAGATTTATTGGGAAGAGCAAAAGAACAAAGCTTCCACAGTGTGGAAGGGGACCCTAGCGGTTTGCCACTGCTGGCTCGGGTGGCCAGCTTTTATTCGCTTATTTGGCCCCACCCACAATCAGCTCCATTTTACGGAGAGCTGATTGGTCCACTTTACAGAGTGCTGATTGGTCCATTTACAGAGTGCTGATTGGTGCGTTTACCATCCTTTAGCTAGACACAGAGCGCTGATTGGTGCATTTACAATCCTTTAGCTAGACACAAAAGTTCTGCAAGTCCCCACCTGACCCAGAAGCCCAGCTGGCTTCACCTCTCACCATCAGCAGGAAAATTGTCATTAGGTCCCCACATTCATTTCTGTCTCCAGTTGGAACAGTAGTTAATTAGTAAGAAGTTTTTAAGTTCAGAAGTTAACTGGAACCATTTTGCTAAGGGTAAATGTTTTAGCACAGGCTGTAGTAGCAGGCAATATAGAACATTCCCTCCATTAAAGGAGCCTTGACCAAAGATGACATAGACTCTCTGGAGATCCATTTTTCAGGGAGCCAGGCAGATCACACAAGTTTAGGAAGTCAAAGGGGATCACAACAGGCAGATAAGCTGAGGTTCTGTGGGTAAAGCATAGTTAATCCAATCACTTAGTTCATCTGGTTCCATGGCTTGGAAGGCTACGCCTGCAACCTTGGGTGGAATATTTAACACAGTGCTGGGACTTAGGAACTGAGGAGAGAAAATAGTTGGGGGGATGCTCCCACTGTCTTCTCCTCCCGCTCCACCCTGGGTCACAATGAAAGAAAGAAGGACTAAAAGGATGCTTTTATTTTCACTTCTTTTTCTAGATGGGTAACAGACTATCTTCAGCTTGCACCCCTCTGGAGTGCACTCTGAAACACTGGAACTTGTTTAACCTCGGTACTTTAAAGAGAAATGTGACTCATTTTATTTCGCACAAGGGCATGGCATTTTTACTAACCTTTGCAAGTGTCGTAAGATCGACCTAGCTTTTTTAACAGGCATAACAGGTAAGCCTATAGAAAATAATCCCCCAATTACAAAGGCAGTTTCTGGGGGAACCATCTGATAATTCCCCTTATTTGGGGACACCTCAAGTTTTCTTCTCATTACAGGACCTTAGGCAAATAAAGGAAGAACTAGGCCAATTTTCTGACGACCCCAATAGGTATGCAAAAGGTTTCCAGAATTTAACTCAGGTGTTTCACCTCATATGGAAGGATGTTATGCTGCTCCTAAACCAAACTCTAACCACAGCAGGCAGTTCTGCAGGTAGCAGATAATTTTGGAGATGAGCAATATACCTCCTGTAATATATCAGAAAGGAAGAAAAGAGATAGGGAAAGGGAAGAAATAGCAGAAACACCATTTCCAATAGGAAGGGAAGCTGTTCCTCTTGACAACCCTAATTGGAATCCCAATAGCTCTACAGATGAATGGAAAATAAAGCACTTTTTAATATGTATTTTAGAGGGCCTATGAAAGAATAGGGCAAAATCTGTTAATTACTCTAAACTGTCCATGATAGACCAAAAGCCAGATGAGAATCCTGCAGGCTTTGTGGAAAGGCTGAGAGAGGCACTAAAAGAGGACACCTCCTCATCCCCTGATTCAGTTGAGGGACAGCTCATTCTAAAGCTTAAGTTTATTACACAGGCAACTTCCGATATTAGAAGGAAACTACAGAAGTAAGCTATAGGACCAGATAGCATCTTGGAATACCTCCTTGAGGTGGCCACTTTGGTCTCTTATAATAGGGACCAGGAGGAGGCCTAAAAGATAGAGAGGAAGCTCAGGAGAATGACAAAGGCTCTAATAGCCGCTTTGCAAGTTTGCAAAGTCCAGGATACCCCAGGTGCATCCGTTAGTTGCTATGAGTGTGGCGAGCCAGGGCATTTTAAGAAGGAGTGCCCAAACATCAAGAAGAAGCCACCTTGACCAGGTCCAGCCTGAAGTGTAGGCCACTGGATATCAAATTGCCCCCGAAGGCAGAGGTCACTGAGTACAGAACCAGTCTCACCGATGATTCCAGCAGGACTGATAGGTCTTGGGGCTCAAATCCTGGCTCCGGTGGCTAAAGTGTCATTACAGCACAGGAGCTCTGGGTAATTCTGGAAATTGAAGGAAGGAAAGTAGACCTCGTTCTGAACACTAGTGCCTGTCTGTCTCTCTTTGCTCCTCTCTAATTTAGACCTCCCCTCTTCCCATAATACGACTGTAAGGGGCGTCTCAGGACAAACTCCAATCCAATATTTTTCTCAGCCTCTTAGTTGCAATTAGGAGGACCTGTTATTTATACATGCTTCCAAACCACTGCCACAGTAGCTCTACTCATCAGAAAAGCCTCCAAATTAACCCTAGGAAATAATTTACCTGTTTACACCCCACATTCCCAGCAAGTGTGGCTGCTCACCAGAGCTTTCCACCCCCCAATACCTTGGCCCCAGGGGACAGCAGGCCTTGGCCTTCTGACTTGTGAGGCGAGCTGACATTCTGGACCTTGGGGGACGGCAGTGGCATGGAGACTTGAGTGGCGGCCGTTGTGGTGTTTGTGGTTGTAGATGTGGTCACTCCCACTGCCTCGGCCAGGTCTGGAGGGAGGTCATCTTCATCACTGCCGTTACTAAAAGCACATGAAGCTCTGCTCATTAGAGTAGTAAACAGGCTGTGAGGAGTGGACGGAGGATCCTTAGCAAACAAACAGCCAGTAAAGCAAGCAATACATAAGGCAGGATAACGTCTAAAAAATGTCTCTCCCCAGACACAAGCACTGAATTAGCTGCACTAAAAGTTCTTATAAGATCACAAATTAAGCAAGGGAAAGGTAGCTAACTTTTATACTAACTCCAAGTATGCTTTCTTAGTTCTTCATGCTCATGCTGCCATTTAAAAGGAAAGACATTCTCTTATCACTAATGGATTTACTATAAAATATTACCAGGAAATTAGCAGGCTATTATCCTCAGTTTTCCTTCCACAAGAAATAGCAGGAATGCATTGTAAGGAATATCAAAAGGAAACAGATAAAGTAGCCAAAGGAAATAGGTTAGCTGATCAGGCAGCTAAGTTGGTGGCAAGGAAGCCTCAAGGGATTAACACACTTCAAGCCATCCTAATCAAGGAAGGCTCCATAAGAAAAATTAAACCTCATTATTCCCCTGCAGAAATAGAGTGAGCCACTTCTCAAGGGTGTACTTCTCATAACTCAGGATAGCTACAGTCAGAGGATGGCAAACTCCATTTGCCAGCCTCCAGTCAATGGAAAGTCCTTACATTCCTTCACCAAGCTTTTCACTTAGGAAAGGATAAAACTTATCAATGTGCTCAGAGGTTGTTTTCAGGCAGAAAACCTCTAACTTGGTTAAGCATCTACCCTCTCTAGCTCACTTTCAATAGGAATTGATACATCTAGAAAAAGCCCAACCCCAAGAAATAGGACCACCTTTACTTAACCTAAGAAATTTCGTATTAGTGAAAACTCATCTCTCTCTCTTCTTCTTTAAGCCAAGCTGGGAAGGGCCCTATACAGTTCTTCTTTCAACCCCCTCAGCAGTAAACGTTACAGGTATCAACTTCTGAATACATCACACTCAAGTCAATGCCTGAAGACCTGAGGGAGCAACCCCTGACAGCCCAGAGGAACATCTCGAATATCAATGTGGAGAAACAGAAGATCTTAGGCTGAAAATCATAAAAGATAACTAACTGAGTGAGGGACAATCATCTTACTCAGCCCCACTCCTTTACCTCAACAAATACTTTTTATTACTTCTACCTTTATTATTATTATCTATACACACACACACACGTACACACAAACACATACTAGCAATCTCCTTCAGACACAACACTAGGGACAATGATAAACTTTCAAATAATTTTTTTTATTTTTCTTAGTATTATAAAAATAATTTATTTTAATATAATTATTCTGCCAAATAATAGAACTTCTTTGTAACGCGTATTTGCAGAGAGATTTTAATTATACATGGAATTGCATTTGTAACTTCATAAATCCCCCAAGGGAAATGTTATATCTTGGCAAGTAAAGTTTTAAACAAAAATTATTTACTATGCCACTTTTATGGGAATTGTTATAGTCACGCTATGATTTGCAATAAAGCTATACACTGTGGTACCCACAATGTGGAATTCTGGTTTTAAAATTCTCATGGCTGTAATATTTTGCCTAATTATCATCTTTATAGCAGGATTAATAATTACAGGAAGGATTTAGTCAAGTTTGTTTTGCCTGTAGCAGGAGTACTAGTTACAATCAAGAAGTAACCATGAAAGTTTTACTATCATTAAGTTTGCTAGGACTTTTTACTGAAGATTGATAATATGGTGCACTCTAAGCTATGGAAAGGTTATAAAAGAGAGATTTTATATAAGAAAGGATCTTGTATAGTAAATTCTCATCCTAAAAGGAAATGACTGGTTGTTTTAAGGATGAATGTTTAGGACAAGTCAGAAAGTTTGAATATGTTTTAAGAGGGTCTGTGAAAATCATGTAAGAATTTAATAATTAAATGGAAATAATTGCCAAGATTGACACTAAAGTTATTTTAGCCACCTAATACTGCTTTTCTCTTAATCATATCACAAGTTATAAAAAAGGCCTAAGCCTAAAATTATCCCCTAGTGGCAAGTCAAGGGGCAAAATGTGTTTTTCTCAAGGAAAATGTTACTTTTATATTAACTTTTCTTGTAGTGTACTATGACATCTAGTGGAGGCAGACCGGTATTACAATCCATTGGTGTAACTAACAGGTATCAAACTATTGTCATAGTTAAGGTTTACAGTATCCCCACTAACAGTGATAATCTTAATACTCATATTCTAACTTTATATTTTAAACCTTCTTGTAAAATTTATCTCTTTTTGCCTAAAAGCAATCAAACACCAAATGGTGCTGCAGACAGAGCCACACATGGACACACCAATCTTGTGAGAACCCTTAGACCAACCTCAGGAGGAGCCCCAACTGCTGTACCCCCACACCACGCCCCTTTTTGGCAGGAAGTAACCAGAAAGAATCATCATCCAACACCCCCAACAGCAGTTAGGGCAAAATCTCCTGAGGGTGAAAATAATACAGGAGTTACTAAGAAATAATTTTTAGGCAGCTAGAAAGGGTAAAAGTTCTCAGTGGAGATTCCACCGAGACTTTACGTTCTGGAAAAGAGATTCCAGAAAGTAATTCAGCCTTGCTGACACCTTAATTTTAGCCCAGTGAGACCTGTGTTGGATTTCTGACCTACAAAACTGGAAGATAATAAATTTGTGCTTTTTAAGCCTCTAAAGTTCTGATAATTTGTTACAGTAGCAATAGAAACCTAAGAAGAAGTGTAGTAGTGCATTTTAAACATGTAATTGAATTGTAAAGATAACACATTTAGAAAATTGATTCAGGAGGAAAATTATATTTCAATTCTGATTATCCACAACACACACACACACACGTACAAACACACGCATACTAGCAATCTCCTTCAGACAAAACACTAGGGACAATGATAAACTTCCAAATGATTTTTTTATTTCTCCTAATATTATAAAAACAATTTTTTAATATAATTATTTTAGTGTGGAATATTTCTAATCAAAAATTTACAATGTATATGATTGAGTCATTAATCAAGCTCTAATGATAAGTATTCTTTTTCTTTTCTGATATGGTTTGCATTAACATTTGTGTTTTAATCAAAGCCAGCAACTTATTTGAATATTTTTTCACAAGGAAAAGTTCATTCATAAAAATATAAAAGCCTTTACATAAATGCATAACTGCTAAGATATATATCAATTTGCATAAAATATAATTTTAAAAAGTATGTCAACAAATAAATATAATTGGGTTTATACCTTCTACAATATTTTATTTTCTTTATAGTGAATAACTATAAGGCATTTGATAGAAATTTGAGGTAGCTGAGTTTAAATCCTGGCTCTGTGTCACCTTACTCAATTCCATAAGCTTTTCTGTTATTTAAATTAGTAATCTGCAATAGGAGGGGTTATTTGACTACATAACATTTAACTTTACATTTCTCTTTAAAAATTTTTGACTACACCTTTTATGACAGTTGCCATTGCTGTAGAGTCATGGTTCTCAACCTGGGTGATTTTCTTCTCAGGGGACATTTAGTATCTGGAGAAATTTTGTTGTCATAACTCGTGTGTGTGTGTGTGTGTGTGTGTGTGTGTGTGTGTGTGTGTGTGTGTGTGGTGGGGGAAGAGTTAAATTAACATGTAGTGGCTTGAGTTCAGGGATCCTGCTAAATATTAAGTACAATGCATGGAATAACCCATACAACAATTACCCAGCCCAAAATATCAATAGTGCCAAGCTTGAGAAATCCTGTCTTAGAGAAAGAAGTTATTCAATATTTGATGCAAAAAGGGAGGTATTTTACTGATAAAAGTGATGCTGATTCCAAATACAATCGGATTTAATGCAAACTAATGAATACCTCTCTGGCAGCTAGAAGAGTGATGGTTCAAAGTATTTTACTTTGCAATCTTAATTACCTGAAGTAATTTGGAACACAGGAAAAACAAAACACGCAGTCATTAAGTTTCTAGATCTCTTTGAAATCAATAAAGACAAGATTCCATTAAGAAATCCCAGAGCCTAGTGTGCATTTGAATGAATCATGGTGTGACCTATTATATATCCTTGAGTTCTTTGCTGAAATTGGTTGTCATTGTATTCAGAACTAATACAGGTCAAATTGAGAGGTGACAACGTGCTAGCAGCCCTCGTTTGCTCTTGGCGCCTCCTGGGCCTCCACCTCTGCTCTGGCCACGCTCCAGGAGCCCTTCAGCCTACCGCTGTGCTGTGGGGGCCTTTCTCTTGGCCTGTGGAGGCCAGAACCGGCTCCCTCTGCTCGCTGGGAGGTGTGGAGGGAGAGGCGCAGGTGGGAGCCGGGGCTGCACTGGGCGCTCTTAGGCTGGCACAGGTTTTGGGTGGGCGCCCGCTCAGCGGCCCCGCACTAGGCATTGCCAGCCAGTGCCTGCTGGCCTTGATGGGGCACAAGCTCCCTCTGCACTGCCAAAGTGCCTGGGCTAGGTACCCCAAAGTCTGGCAGTGAGTGCCATTGAGAGGTGAAGCCACTGGGCTTCTGGTTGGGGTGGGGACTTGGAGAACTTTTCTGTCTAGCTAAAGGATTGTAAATGCACCAATCAGCACTCTGTCAAAACGGACCAATCAACTCTCTGTAAAACGGACCAATCAGCTCTCTGTAAAATGGACCAATCAGTTCTCTGTAAAATGGACCAATCAGTAGGATGTGGGTGGGGGCCAGATAAGGTAATAAAAGCAGGCCACTTGCGCCAGCAGCAGCACCGTCCTTACATGCCTTTCAGTGCTGTGGAAGCTTTGTTCTTTTGCTCTTGGCAGTAAATCTTGCTGTGCCTCTCTATTTGGGTCCGCATCATGTTTAAGAGCTGTAACACTAACCGCAAAGGTCTGCAGTTTCATTTCTGAAACCAGCAAGGGCACGAACCCACTGGAAGAAAAGAACAACTCCAGAGACGCTGCCTTTAAGAGCTGTAACGCTTACTGCAAAGGTCTGCAGCTTCACTCCTGAAATCAGCGAGACCACGATCCCACCAGAAGGAAGAAACTCCGGACACGTTTGAACATCGAAGGAACAAACTCCAGACATACCATATTTAAGAACTGTAACACCACGAGGGTCTCTGGTTTCATTCTTGAAGTCAGTGAGACCAAGAACCCTCCCAATTCTGGACACAAAAGTACATCACTCAGAGATCTGTTAATGACAAAGTTAAATTTGTGAGGGACGGGTTGGTAGTAATATTTTATAGTATTTCCCATGTTTCTGCATTGCCAATAAAGTAGCATTGTAGAAGCTGACATCTCAGAATTTACAAGTAACTAAACATTTTTAGGTGATTCAGAAAGATATATGCTAGGAGACAGCAAAGAATTCAATCTTTTGCCTTTTCATTTCAATCTTCAGGCTTGTTAAATAAACTCCTTTAACTAACAAACTGTTCATACTTATTTCCAATCTAAATACTAGTTAGTAGCTCAGCATTGCCCCGATTTCGCTCTTCTTTTCAGATATAACGACACAAAAGGGAAGAAAGCTGGAACACACGTTTATGTAGACAGAAGTAGTTTATTCAGAGAAATAGTTTCCTCCAGTCCTCTGTTGCCTAAGGTAAATTTGACGGAATATATTCCTAACTTTCCCTATTCCAAGTGAATGTGACTAATTTTAAATATGCCACACAAATGAATTCAGATAGCATGTATCCACCAAATATAGGGTGACATCCAAAGGATTGCTAACACTCACATTCTAAGAACACCATGCTATAAAATCGTTTTATTTAAAGACAAGTATCCAGGAAAGTCGTTGAAAGGGTAAATTACTGAATATTTCTAGAGTCCCTTTTATTTAAGTCTCTTTCTCTGTATCAACCATATAACCATTATCCTTGGCCCGTTCATAGCCCCTCTACAGGTAAAAAAGAACTCAAGGTTAACAACTCATTATCATGTACAGTTTCACTTACAGGATGCAAATTTGGAGTATTTTTTCAAAGAATTATGTATCTTTTCCACAAAGAGTTCAATGCTACACTATTCAGATTTTTATTGTAGGTATAGAGAGTGCTTTTCTGAGTACTTGTTTGAGACTACAGGAAGAGGAGTAGTGCTATTTATGTTTGCACTCTAAACTGAGAGCTCCTCTTACGTAGTTGTGCATGTGATTTAGAAAGAACCTGGACACACAAGATTTTGCAATGGTGTCGCATAAAGGAGATATCTAACCAGTCAACAATATAAAGAATTAGAACTCTAGAGATTTAAGGAGTTTACAACCAAAATAATCTTCTTGTAAAAAGAAAGAGAGCAGGATTTGAAATCAGAAGATATGTATGATTTTACTCCATTTACTAGGCATTAAAGCAGGGATAGATACTTGTTTTCATCGACATCCCTTTCTTTGTGGAAAGTAATCGGCCCCATCCGATGTGGTTCTGGTAAACTATCAATCTAAGCCTCTCACCTGAGCTACAGAAGTTATCATGAAATCTAGATTTTTCACATTGTAGCACTACCTCTGTCTCACAATAATGAGCATTTTAGGGGTTGACAAATGATGAAACAAAGCTGGTTGAGGTTCTTCATTTGTATTGGCATAATATCACCGGGGGAAATCTATTTTTAACTGGTGGTGTTAAACTAGTAGCAAAGGCTGCAAGTAGCCATCTTCAAGATTTATGGAGCAATTCAAATAGCACAAGTAGAGAATAGTGTCATCACAGTGAAGAAAACATAAAAAAAAAATTGCTGGCATAATTTGAGCCCCTGGATCCAGTCGAACATGATATACACAAGTTCCATGAGCCCAAAATCTATTTAAAATTGAGTATGTGTTTCTTTTTATTAAATATATAAAACGAATTTTAAAAATTCTACGGAGCCCTTCATAACTTGGCTACAATTAACATGCCATCCTTAATTTCTATGATTGTCCTCTAATGTGCTTTTTTCTGTCCATGCTTACTTTTTAGTGTTCCTTGCAAAACCATCACACTCCAGCCTAAGGGTCAGTACATGGGCTGTTCAGTTGTTTGCTCTTCCTCAAGATACCTTCAGATATCTATACACCACTCCATCTCATCCTCAAATCTTTGCTAACATTCTAGAATTTCTATGGAGGTTTTTCTGACCACTCTTTATGACCTTGCAGCTTGCCTGCACACCCAATTTCTCTTACCTTGTTCTAGTACTTACTACTTTCTAAAATACTGTAAGATCATACATTTTTATATGTATTGATACATGCAAAATATAAGTATAAACATATTTTACATGTATTTACTGCTCTCCTCCTCACCATTAACAGTAGACTTATGACCCACAAGGTGACTTTCATTAGTTTTTTTTTTTCCCACAGTTATGCCCCCTGTGGTAGAATAGTGCTTGACACATACAATGATCTCGATAAATATGTAATGAATGAATTTGATGAATCATACAAACGTGTAGCTAAGTTTGGTTTTAAGCAAGTCACTAAATTGTCTGAGCCTTTGTATCTATGTTTGTAAAACATCAATGACACATGCTACCCACTTTCCATATCTTATAGGTCTATGTATTAGTCTGTTCTCACATTGCTATAAAAAATTCCTGAAACTGTATAATTTATTTAAGAAAACAGGATTAATTGGCTCACAATTCTGAAGTCTATACAGGAAGCATAGCAGCTTCTGCTTCTGAGGAGGCCTCAGGAAACTTCCAGGCATGGCAGAAGGCAAAGGGGAAGAAGGCATGTCTTATATGGCCAGAGCAGGAGCAAGCTAGAGAGGGGCAAGGTGCTACACACTTTTAAAACAACCGGGTCTCATGATAACTCACTCACTCCCTATCATGAGAACAACACATAGGGAATGGTGTTAAACCATTCATGAGAACTCTGCCCACATGATCCAATCACGTCCCATTAGGTGCCACCTCCAACACTGGGGATTACAATTCGACATGAGATTTGGGTGGGGACACAGATCCGAACCATGTCAGTCTACAATGTATACATCTTATTTTACCAAGTTTATGAAAATGGTTGGACATATGTAAAATGCTTAAATGATATGAGCCAACATTCTCAGATACTATTTTTATAACTAAATATAGAGTTAGAATCACATATATGTGTTCCTTTCATTGTGGCCCAACTCAATTCTTTTTTCCAATGGAAATATCAAGGGTTTAACAAAGATACCTCAGAATCAAATAATAATTCTGGCTTAATGTTACAAACTATTAGTTCTCTGAAATTGCTTTTAAAATATTATGATAGTAAAATTGGTAATAAATGTATTGTGTTATTTCCTCATAATGTACACATTATAATGTACAGTTTAATGTGTACATTATGAGGAAATAACAAAGTATTAAAACTAATATGAATTTTATTTCATGGTAAACTTAATGTCATTAAAAAAACTTCACTGATGATTCTTACATCAGCCAACGTATTCAGCAAAGAGTAACAGGGAAAACCACATGTTATCATACAATACAGATTCTGATGTGAAGTGAAGACCTGAATCAGGTTATGGACATGTCTATAACTTGCCTATGATACTAGGAGACATATTTATGCTTTTCTTTTTCCTTAATATTTATCAAATGGGCTTAATGATCTTGTCTGCAAAAATGTTATTATTTTTAGAATCACATGAGTTAATGGATTGAAGAAAAATTAACCCCCACCCCCCCCCAACACACAAGCATTTTAGGGGAGACATTGTTGGTCTAAAATAAAAAGAAAGGAAAACTCAGAGAGCTTGCAAAGTTAATAACCTATTTTCTGCCACTAAATTTTCAAGTGAAACATGAGATAGTTATTATCCCTGCCCATAATTCCATAGCTCCCTTCTCAAGTCGTGTTTCTTATGCACCAGAATTGTTGTTTGTGATCACCCATTGAATTTATGCATGCTTCAATCCTTACAGAGCCTAGTATTTCTACAGCCTTGACTGTACATAGACATCAAGGCAGAGACTGCAGAGTAAAATATTGACAGATTTTATTTCTAAAACAATTGGAAAAATTAAACCAAAGAATGGATAAAATAGTTTAATATATATTATAGCAAAGGGTTAGCATCATTTATGTAAATAGGTCTATACATTTAGGAAAAAATATGAATATTCCAATAGAAAATCGAAAAAGGAAATGATAATTTACAAGATAATAAACCCAGATGTCCAAAAGACAGGAATGTGTTAAAAATGTTGGAAATTGCTAATGAATAAAAACTACATGTTAAAATACTGATGTACTTATTTCCATTAGGTGGTCAGTTATTTCAAATAATTCTAATGTTTTATGTAGAAAAATTATGTGTGGAAAAAGTGACAAGAAATATTTGTGCAGTCCAGGAAGGATACCAAGCAAAAAAAAAATCAACATGTATATATTTTGGAATGCAAAATCACAGTACACACAATCTTTCTCAAGGACATAATTTTTTTAAAAAGAAAATGATTTCTTTTCAAGCATATTATTTGTAGCATATTACATGTTATAAACAATACTGGAAACCAATTAGATGACTAAATCAAAAAGTGTGGTTAAATAATTCTGTATGAAATACTATCAGTAAATATCATTACATAGTTTTAACACTGAAAGAGACCAGGAAAAGTGTTAAATAAAAAGCAGTCTATAAGCTATATGTATAGTAAAATGCCATTGTTGTTGCACATATTTAACCATTCAAACCTGTTTCTGATCACACTCAGCCCTCTTTCATCTGCTGACAGGCTATGAAAGAGCCAAAGCTGATGGTTATATGGTTAATTCAGAGAAAGAGTCTTAAATAAATGGAGCTCTGAAGGAAACCTGCAGTAATTTGTCCTTCCAAGGACATGCCTGGACACTGTGGTCTTTAAAGAAGATTACTTGAGTATGAGCATCAGGAATTCAAAATTTTGATTTCTTATTATTTCATTTCTTGACAATCATAGAAACATGAATTGACATTCATTTCTTTGGATATTTTCTCATAGATGGTCAGTTTGAACAGAATAAACTGCTAAGCCTTTATAGAGTGAAGAAGTTTCTTTACATGACTGTGTTAATATTCATTCTTTAAAGTCCTTTACTACTAATAAACCAGAGATTCTTGGGCCTTACGAAATTGTGGGATAAAATAAATTGGTCACATTTATAGGAATTACTCAAATATCACTCCTCATAGGATCTCAGCACTTCCGCCTCTTCCCACGATTTTCATACAAGAATATTAAGAAGTTCTGCTCATATCTTAGTAGATCATATCATGTGTTATCTGCTTGAAATAACTGCTCCTGGCACTAGAAACCACATGCCAAAGATGCACCATTGCTGCTTCTCTTGGTGATTACTGTTTCTGCTATGCACCAATATGTATGGAACGTACAGAATGAATTGTGGCAAGTGGAAAGATGGAAGAAGATAATCTAAAGAACAAATAATGTGCAAATGGGAAATGAGTGTGGAAGGTTGCATTATGGCTCACAAGTACTCATTGCTCCACATGGATGGAGGATTATACTCTCCTATTGCATTGTCATCATGTTTGGGACTATGAGTTTTATCAATGAAATAGGAACAGATGTCGGTTGCATCACTTTCAAGCAGAAGCTTTAAGAGCCAGTTTGCTGGTAGTTTGCTGTATCTCTCTTCCTTCTTTGTAGGAATAATTATGTTCCAGAAAGAGATTGCTCTGCTATTCTGGGTCCAAAAATGAAAATAATATTGAACAGAGCTGAACCAACTCATGAAGGATATCCCTAATGAAATTAAGATATAACCTTACTTGTTATAAGCCATGGGAATTTCATGTGTTGGTTTGCTTGATTTTCGGGGGAAACGGTATTGCTTATTATTGCAGCATAATTTAACCTACCCTGATTATTGCAATAGGTTTTAGAATCAGTCCAAACTAAATTCAGGTTTTGTCTCAGATACATGATAAATGTGTTACCTTGGAAATGTTTATTCTCAGTCAGTCTCAGTTTCTCTTCAATAAAGGAATAATAAATATCTAATTTATAGATATTCATCTGAGAGAATTTGATGAGTGATCATATATCAAGTAGCTATTAAGTAAGATGTCTTCATAAACATTAATATATTTTATTTTACTTCCCAAGAATATTCATCAAGACTTTTCTGAATCATCAGATTACAGGACATTATGTCCTGTCTATATATGGGCATGAAGTATACGGATGGCATATGGCAAGTTGCAAAATATTTTTCTGGAGATAGCAGAGATGTGGGAAAGAACGAACAAGTTCCACATGGTACCACAATAATTCAGAAGTTTTTAGAGGATTTAGAATGTTCTTAATGGAGGTTTGTCTTTTTCCCTTGTCTAAGACACTATGGGAATACTGAGGAAAAATCCATTTCAGTACCTGCTAATAAAAATGTTAAATAGATATTCAAAGAGTAATATCATATCCAGTTATCCCCATTTTATCCTCTGTTATTATACTGATCATAGTGTAATTGATAGATGCATTTAAAGAAGATGGTACACTTGCTGATGGATATAGAAAACATTCATTGTAAATACATTTTATGAGATTGGATAAATGTGAGAGGTAGGATAGAGGAAAGAGATATAGTATGAACTATGGCAGAGTAAATATGACACAAATATGTTGACAGCTTTCCCTAGAGAGATGAGATTTATTTACCCTAATGTATGACCAGAGTATGGCATAAGTAATTCATGCCAATTCCAGCTCTAACCTTTAAAAAGAAGGGCATTTTATGCTTCTTATTACTTAGAATAGCTTATAGAGCTCTGACTCACCAATTGAAAAGTCAAACTAATATACTAGAAAGACCATGGAGAGACACCCTGAAGCTACATGAAGAACCAAAGGAACTCCTCAGAATCTAGTGTTCCAGTTGTCCCCACCAGGGTACCAGACGTATACATAATGAAGCCATTTTGGAACTGACTTCCTTATCCTCAGTTACTCCAATTCACAGCTTGTGAGTGAGAGACAGATGCCCCAGCCAAGCCCTTCCCAAATCTTTGGTTAACAAAATCATGAATAGCATAAAATGATGTGTTAAGCCACTAAAGTTTGAAATAATTTGTTATATAATAGCAATAGATAACCAAACATGTGCTAAAATCTGCTTCTCAGGCATAAAATGATTAAAAATTATATCTTTTTAAAAAGCAAATCCCTACTTGTCTACACTTCTACCATTGAATTATTACTCTGTTTTCTGCTGACTTTGGTATGTACAGGTGCCATATCCTTATCATAACCCTCAAGTGCTTTTTTTTCCCCCTTTTTCTCCATAGAGGTCTTTTCTTATAGGCATGAAAGAAGAAACATAAGTGTAGCAAAAAATAGCAATTCTAGAAATTATAAATACAACTATATTTAATTGTGTCACTATAAATATAGGTAGCCCTTGAACAAGATGGGTTTAAACTGTGTAAGTCCGTTTGTGGATTTTCTGCATCTGTCATCCTGAGATAGCAAGGAGAACCTCTCCTATTCCTCTCCTCATCAACCTACTCATCCTGAAGACAATAAGGATGAAGATTTTTATGATGATCCATTTCCATGTAATGAATGGCAAATATATTTTCTCTGCCTTATGATTTTCTTTTCTCTGGTTTACTTTATTGTAAGAATACACTATGTTATACATATAGCATACCAAATATATGTTAAGTGACTATGTTATCGGTAGGGCTTCTGGTCAACAGTAGGCTATTAGTAGCTATGTTTTATGGAGTCAAAGTTACACACGAATTTCCAACTGCATGGGAGTTGGCACCCCTAACTCCTGCATTGTTAAAGGGTCAACTATAATTTAAAATTAACTAAAAAGCACGTGTAAGTGTCCTGATTAGACATATGTCATATTCAAAATAATTCTTAGATGCCTATTAAAAAAGAATGAACTATGAAATATTTATATATATACTTAATTTCCAATAATTATATGAAAGAGGAAAAAAGCAAAAGGCAATTTGAACTCCATAAGCAATTGAAATCTTGAACATCATTAAACTCAAACTAACATGAGACCACTTAAATTATTCATCCATGATTACTTTCTTCACAGTTAATCACTCCTTTGGAGATTCCAAAACGGTCAGAACTCTAAAGTGTTTATCATACTAAAAATGTCAAATCTTAGAGTTGTTCCAGCCTCAGAACACAGACTCTAGACTCTATTAAAGCAGTTTCTCATTTTAAAAAGAAAGAATGGTGCACTGGGGTAAATCCCTTCTCTTTAAGTTCAGGGAATTAAAAAGCATTCATTTAAGTCTCCCACTTACATTTAAAATAAAGCTTCAGTCATTCAATCAACTATGGTTTTTGAGACTGTGAAACATTCCAGGCCAATTCCATATTCTAGTTAGTTATTTCTAAACAAATACCACTTTTGTTTACATGCAAGAGAAAAATTAGTCTAACCCAAAATATCCATTTTTAACATAAGGAGAAAAATAGTCAAGAGAATGTAAAAGGTTTTTTTTCTGGCTTTTTTTTTTTTCGGAGACTAAAGATGAAAGCTAACTTATCTTGACGCCCTGGTACAGTTAGCACTTCTTGATTTCTATGTTCTATTAATAACTATTTTAATTTTATTTCGAACATCAAATTATGCTGATTGCAAAATTAGATACAAACTCAAGGGTAAAATTTTCTTTTACTGTTTTGAGCAATGATGTTTTTCAAAGTTTGAAGACATTTTCTTTTCTTCTGATGCTATATGTTCTAATTAACTATATATTGGCAATGACACAGATACAGTGATTTACAAATTAAGTTTTGCTAAGTAATACATAGACAATTTTTTTAGTATGATTGAGTAGACTTCCATCTTATAAAAATCTCCAACTTTTTTTGCTGTTTTATATTGCATGAGGGCCTTGAAAGAAAGAAGTAACATCTATCATCATCTTTTCCTCAGATGCCTTTTTTTTTTTTTTAAATTACAGACAACCATACCTGGCTAGAGAAAAAGTACCTTTTGAAGTAAACATAGCTTATATGGCTAAATGCAGTGTTATGTTTTCTGAGAATAAATCCAGGAGATCAAAATCTCACCCAAATAACTGGAGTACAATTATTAGTCTAATTATCCTGTGAAATCTACAACACATGGAAATAGAAGGAACAAAGAAAGGTAAGGGGAGAGAGAGGGAGAGGAAGGAGGAGAAAAAAAGAAGGAAGAGGAGGAGAAGGAAGAAGAAGAGGAGGAGGAAGAAGAAGAAGAACAGGAGTGGGAGGAGGATGAGGAGGAGGAACAGAAAGAACCAGGAGTGGGATAGAAGGAGGAGAAGAAGGACGAGAATGAGGCTGAAACAATAAGAAGAACATGAACTACAATAAGAACAAGAGTAAAAAAAGGAGGAGGAAGAAGGAGAGGAGAAAGAGATGAAGAGAGAGAAGGAAGAGAGAGAAGCAGGGGAGGGAGAGAGGAGGCATGGAAGAGAGGAAAAGGGAACAAAGAAATGAAAGGCAGAGAGATGGAGCAAAAGAATGATGGAAAGATAAAAGTCTAAAAACGCTTACATAAAAAAACAAAATTTGCCCTGATTAATCAAACTTCAAACCATTGAGTTCCTTAATATACAGTTGCATAAAACTGTTCAACTGCCTACCAGAGCCTTTTCCTCCAGACTGTTGGAAAGTCTCTCTACAATCTGCCTTAGCCAACCAAGTAAACCTTCAAGTAGACCATGAAGGTTTACTTGGTTGAGTTCTCATTTCCCTCTAAATCTCCTTCCATGTTTTCCCCAAGCCCAAGTATGATAGAATTGAAAAAAACTGCATAATCGACGCAAAAGGGAGAAAACATATAGCCTATGCCATAAGTATCCTTAGAATACCAAGAGGTAAATAATATCCATGAATGTTAACACTTTAATACTTTTGATTTTATAAAACTTTTCTTTGCCCAAACTTCTATGATTCTTCAGAGACTCCTTTTATTTACAGTCTTATATCAGAAATTATTTGTCTTATTTTCTTATTTTTAGGGTGTTCATGATTCTTCTTAGATTTCCCCATGCCACTTTTCACAATCTATTTCCACAGAAAAAAAATTAAGAGCATAACACATTTACTAGTGATGTATATGTTTCTGTACATGTGTGTATTTAAGGGGTAATTAGTATATTTTTACTATATTTTAAAATAATAATGTCAAAATATAGTTTGAGCTTAAGAATATCACTTTTAGGTAAATCAGCTTTCTTCTTGATTGCTTAAGATGAAGCATTCTTAATAGTTGTATGTAAGTAAAACCTATGGATTATCACCTGAGAGAAATGCAAGAAAATATCCACAAAGCAAAGTAATTAGAGATTATCACTGCATTGTTCAGATTCTGAGGGTATGTAGTGCTTTATAAAGCATGCAGATGTTTTTCCAGTATATACGCACAGCCTTTGAGTGGTGTAAAAGATTTTATTATTTAATCTATATGTGTATATCACGAGATGTGGAATGAATGGGTTTAGGACAGTGAAGCAGGGTTTTGGCACTTTTGGATCCTTATAGGGAAGTGTGACAGATTAACACATATTGTCAATGTCATATTAAAATGTACAAATCAACCTGACTCCAACAGTTATAAGTTATAGAAATTAACAAATGTTGAAGGGGAGTAACTCAGGTCCTGCATTGGAATGAATAAGACCATGCAAGAAACTAACCATAGGGGAAATGTTGCTAAAATTTGATTTAAAATTGCTAAATTGATCTAAAAGCATATATTATCTCATCTCTTTCTGAACCCAATAGGTTTCACTCATTTGTTCAGTATCAGAAAAATTTGAGTGTTTTTTGAAAGACCAAAAATTATGACTCAGTGAAGATAATTTCCTAGTATTCCATTAAGCTGTTGGATGATCCAGTATCTTTACTTCAGTGGTAATCAGGAAAATAGCTTTAGAACAGATTAGGATTGTCCACATTAATAATTTTAAACATAGGCAAAAGGGAGATATCAAACATTTTTTCTGTGAGTACTAACATGAAGAGATCTGAAGAGGAGATAAATGCCCATAACACAAGACAGTAGTGAAAAGGATGTGGGGAATGTTAGAGCAAACACAGCAAGGAGGACTTTATAATTGTAGAGATCAATTATGCTGATGATGCTCACTTAGGATAGCAGTACCAAAGTTTATAATGAGGTAGTAAAAGAATCTGCAACTTAATATGGTGAGTGACACGGGGAAGAACACTGGTAGGATGGCTTTCCAGCTGCCAGCTTTGATGACTGAGTAGAATCCACCAAGAGACGGAATGTAAGCAGAGAAGCAGGTTTAGAGAAATGGCAACAGGAGGAATTCAGTTCAGACACACTGCAACTTACATCCCCATGGAATACTCAGAACTTAGGCCACTGGGGAATTTGAACATTTTGCACAAAGGAGAGGCATAAGTAAATGATCATGTTTAAGGTCATTTGCCAAAGCTATAAAGAAATGCATCCTGTATAAGCAAAATTAGTCCGTTTTGGTTCCACGATCATTAGGGGGAGCCCAGGCACTTTATTTTTTATTTTATTTTTTATTATACTTTAAGTTCTAGGGTACATGTGGACAACGTGCAGGTTTGCTATGTAGGTATACATGTGCCATGTTGGTTTGCCGCACCCATTAACTCGTCATTTACATCAGGTATTTCTCCTAATGCTATCCCTCCCCCAGTCCCCCAGCCCCTGACAGGCCCCAGTGTGTGATGTCCCCCACCCTGTGTCCATGTGTTTTCATTGTTCAACTCCCACCTTTCAGTGAAAACATGTGGTATTTGGTTTTCTGTCCTTGTGATAGTCTGCTTAGAATGATGCCCAGGCACTTTCAATGGTTCTCTTAGTTTATATACAGATCAGAAATCTTACCACAGTTGCAGGAAAAAAAAAGTTATTTTACGCACAAAGGTAGCATTTTATAAAAATTGCACATCAGAGACTCAAATGTGTCTTCAGTGTTTGTGAGAGACACTCACAATGTATCTTTCAAATTGCCAGTTGAACTTACTTTTTCTTTTCCTGGGGTATATAATGGGAAGTACGTGTCTTGACAACAGTAAGTATACTACATATCTCTTGAAATACCAAGGGATCTCTTAAGATATAAATCAAAACATAAAAATATTCATCAATGTCGCCATCTCTCTGCCTCCTATAGGATGAAAGAGAAGCATTGCAGAGTGAAAGAAGAATAAAATATCTATTGATTTTTCTCTCCATTCCTTTGGCCTAAAATTATTTATATCTAAAAGCAACATGAATGGCTTACCAATTCCTTATTTATCCTGAAATCCAAGCTATAGCCCTGACTTGATTTTCCACTTTTTGGCCTCTTAAATTTCCCAGGAGCAGATGCTGCGGCAACGAGAAACTTGAGCTTTTCACTGTATATTATACGTAGGCAAAAATACCAATTTTAACCTGGATTTCTGCCAGTCCCCAATAATAGAATTGTGTATTGAAAAACTCATAAGTTGCTGCATAGTCTCTTACACCTTTAATGGGCCCTTTGATATGCCAGTGATCAAATTTAATGACTACAACCAAGGTTTTGGACAATTGCCAAATAGTGCATGCCAGAGAGAACAAGGAATGGGAAGTCAGCTTGGTATCATGAGTCTGGGCAGAGGGCAAGGGACACAAAAAAATTAGGGAGAAGTCCATGCATTTTGTAACACAAGAGGTCAGATCCAAGCTCTGTTTTTTGTTTTCTTTTTATTTTTTTAAAAGACCTGTCATCATATAGAAAGGATATTCTGAGTAAAAGCAGCATAGATAACTCTCTGATTGGTTATTGCAGAGAAGTGCCAACAGAGAAGTGAATTCCAGGGAGGCTGGTCACTTTACACATTCTGTCAGCCCTAAGACACATAGCCAATTATCATTGCTGTTTCTATAATGGAGGCCGCTTACCTTCTGCCTGGTCTTAGAGATATTTCCCTTTTAGGTGGATACATTAGTTTGCTAGGTCTACGTACCATAGACTAGATGACTTAACAAATACTGATTTTCTCATAATTCTGGAGACCGAAGTTCACTATCAAGGTGTGAGCAGATTTGGTTTCTCCTGAGGCTTCTATCCTTGGCTTTCAGATAGTCACCTTCTTACTGTGTCTTCGTCATTCTGTGTACACATCCCTGGTATCTCTGAGTTACAAGGACACTGGTAAGAGTTCACTAGGGCCCACTCATATGACCATTTCAAAGCCCCTTTTCTAATTATGTATCTCTAAGTCCAGTCGCTTTGTGAGGTACCAATTGTTAGAACTTTAGCCTATGAATTTTGGGTGAACACAAATTTATTTGAAATTATATTTTAACTTTTAAATTGTGGACAGTTTGCTTTGTGTATGTATAAGAAAATATTGACTAAATAGAAATCTAATACACTTTCAAGGATCCTGCAATTTATTTAGCATCGTGTCAACCAACGCTATGGCCCTTATTTATTTCTTTGTAAATTTATTGCTATATTTCATCACAAAGCAGAAGACATTGGATCATAAATTAGGAGTCTTGCGTTTATTTGTACCTAACACCAGCAGTCTTTATGCATGGTATTTAATCTCTTTAATCCTAATCCTGTGCTTCGTTGGCCGAAGAGATTTTACACAGTGCTTCACAAATACAATATTAGTATTATAGTGATTATTTTATTTTTTATGAGAAAAAGTTTCCTTAGCTTTATTGTACTTTGGTCTCATTAGTTTAAACAAAGTAATTTTTTATGATTTTTTTCTATTTTCAGGCTATACGATGTCCGGAAGTGGTGGGTTCTTGGTCTCACTGACTTCAAAAATGAAGACGAAGACGTGGACTCTGGCGGTGAGTGTTACAGTTCTTAAAGGCGGTGTGTCCGGAGTTCATTCCTTATAATGTTGGGAGTTTCTTCCTTATGGTGGGTTTGTGGTCTCGCTGGCTCCGGAGTGAAGCTGCAGACCTTCGCGGTGAGTGTTACAGCTCTTAAGGCGGCACGTCTGGAGTTGCTGGATCCTCCCGGTGCGTTTGTGGTCTCGCTGACTTCAGGACTGAAGCTGCAAACCTTTGCCGTGAGTGTTACAGCTTATAAAAGCAATGTGGACCCACAGAGAGAACAGCAGCAAGATTTATTGGAAAGAGATAAAGAATAAGGCTTCCACACTGTGGGAGGGGACCGGAGGGGGTTGCCACTGCTGGCTCCGGCAGCCTGCTTTTATTCTCTTATCTGGCCCCACCCACATCCTGCTGATTGGTAGAGCCCAGTGGTCTGTTTTGACAGGGTGCTGATTGGTGCATTTACAATCCCTGAGCTAGACACAAAGGTTCTCCAAGTCCCCACCAGATTAGCTAGATACAGAGTGTCCATTGGTGCATTCACAAACCCTGACCTAGACACAGGGTGCTGAATGGTGTGTTTACAAACCTTAAGCTAGATACAGAGTGCCGATTGGTGTTTTTACAATCCCTTAGCTAGACATAAAGGTTCTCCACGTCCCCACCAGACTCAGGAGCCCAGCTGGCTTCACCCAGTGGATCCCGCCCAGGGGCTGCAGGTGGAGCTGCCTGCCAGTCCCGCGCCGTGTGCCTGCACTCCTTAGCCCTTGGGTGGTGGATGGGACTGGGCGCCGTGGAGCAAGAGGCGGCGCTCATCCCGGAGGCTCCGGCGGCACAGGAGCCCACGGAGAGGAGGAGGCTCAGGCATGGCGGGCTGCAGGTCCCAAGCCCTGCCCCGCGGGAAGGCAGCTAAGGGCTGGCGAGAAATTGAGCACAGCAGCTGCTGGCCCAGGTGCTAAGCCCCTCAGTGCCTGGGGCCGGTGGGGCCGGCTGGCCGCTCAGAGTGCGGGGTCCGCCCAGCCCACGCCCACCTGGAACTTGCGCTGGCCCGCAAGCACCGCGTGCAGACCCAGTTCCCTCCCGCGCCTCTCCCTCCACACCTCCCAGCAAGCTGAGGGAGCCGGCTCCGGCCTTGGCCAGCCCAGGAAGGGTCTCCCACAGTGCAGCGGCGGGCTGAAGGGCTCCTCAAGTCGCCTAAGTGGGAGCCCAGGCAGGGGAGGCGCCGAGAGCAAGCGAGGGCTGTGAGGACTGCCAGCATGCTGTCACCTCTCAATATGTCAGCATAACCAATATTAAAGTAAGTTTTTGTTCTTCTGATTCAGGGAATAAGTACTGTGCAGAAAAGATCATAGTATTTAAATTTTAGTCCTTTCTAATACCATAGTTCTTCTTAAAATTGAATTCATGGGCCGGGAGCAGTGGCTCACGCCTGTAATCCCAGCACTTTGGGAGGCGGAGGCGGGAAGATCATGACGTCAGGAGATCGAGACCATCTTGACTAACATGGTGAAACCCCGTCCCTACTAAAAATACAAAAAATTAGCTGGGCGTGGTGGCAGGCGCCTGTAATCCCAGCTACTCGGGAGGCTGAGGCAGGAGAATGGCGAACCCGGGAGGCCGACTTGCAGTGAGCTGAGATCGCACCACTGCACTCCAGCCTGGGAGACAGAGTGAGACTCCGCCTCAAAAAAAAAAAAAAAAATCATGAAATCTCAACCGGATACAGCATTCTTAAATACCAAAATCTGAAAACTATTCTATTTTGAATGTTTCTGTATTTGGGAAGACTAAAATTCTGGAGTTATATGAAGGCAAATTCCTTATGAAAAATATCTATATTCATAACATGGTTGTATTTTCTTGAAGTCTATGGTAATCCTATACTAGCATTCATTGTTTATGTAACTCCTTTCACCTTACATGTGCTAGCTTTCCACGGATTCCTGCCAGATAATCCAAGCATCCATCTCTAAGTCAGAGACCTCATGCTGTCTCTCTCCATGAGGTCTCTGACTCATGAAACGGTCACCTTTCTTCTGTTCTCTCATTAGTTCTGCAGACCAGTGATGGTGTGAACAAAATTATCAGCGTAGTGACAGACATATTGAGTGCACAGAGCAAATGTATGTTATCTCCTTCCTATTAATAAAGCAATACATTCCAGTTAAGCTAGGTTTTTGTCCAGTTTCTCTGATATAACTTTTAAATTACTGTTATGCATTTTAATGTTATTGCTAGTTATTGGGATTGTGAATAGATGACAGATATATGAGCCTTAACAAGAACCTTCATGTTTGTAAAACTGTAAGGAAAATTATTCCTATAGAGTTTTCTTATTTTGCTTTTTAAAATTTTTATTTTAAAATATTCATTAAGTGCCTACCAAGTGCAAAGTGTAATGTCAGACCATGGCAATACTATGTTAAAAAAAAAAAGTCTCTGTTCTGTTTATAGTCTAGAGGGAGTAACAAACAAATCCAGCAAACATCAAACTGGTGAAGCACATTTCGCATGTGGTATAAAGGAAATAAACAGGGTGCTCTCCTACCAATAAGTCTGTGTAGTGAACCGCAGAAATGGCCACGATTCTCCATCCTTTCTGTTTCTGCATCTTTTGTAATGCGACTGCAGCTTTTCTCATCAAACACTGCAGTCTGTATCTTCTTCCCTTGATTCTGGGCTTTGTAGTGACTTGTATTGACCTGAAAACTGCATTAGAAGTGATAGTGTGACTGCTGTGAGCATTAAGATCTCTCTCTCCCCATTGCCTTTTGACTATGTGAACAAATTGGCTTAGCATTCTAGAATGTGAGAAACTGCATGGACCAGAGATTGGTCTTCCTAATTGAAGCTACTCTCGAGAAGCGAGCTGCCAATGACATGCAGTTGACAGGAGCTGAATGAATGATCGATCCCTCAGATACCAGGAGAGTTGCCTTGCTTAGTACAGACAATATTATTCACAAAGAAAAATGAGCAACAAAATGGTTATTGTTTCAAAACATCATTGGGTGGCTATGAAGTAAATTCAACTGATCCAGTTAAAAGTGAGATACTTAAAGAAATACCTTACAAGGTAGATTTAAGCTCAGATCTAGAGAGGATGAGCATCTTTCACAGTGAGAGTGATTCAGAGAACACACCCTCAGAGGGAATAGCAGGTGTTAAATAATGTCAACTGAATTAGGTTGGCACATTTTAGGATCATGTGGTTGAAATATATTGAATGAAGAAAAGAATGGGATAAGGTAAGATTACAGATATAAACAAAAGCCATATTTTGCAAAGCCTTGTAAGTCATGAACAGAAAGTGGCCTTTGTCCTTGAGGATGGGGGAAACTAATGAATGATTTTAAAAAGGGAAGTAATACAATTTAATTTATATTTTAGAAAAATTAACATGGCAAAGACCATGTTGGAGGCTGTGTAGCAGCACAGAAAAGAGACGGTAGTTACCTATAAATACCTCTCATTTTTTTCTCCCTTAGTAGACATGGGAATTGTTTGAGGTTTCTTCAAATTGTTTTTAGTGATAAACTCTGAGTCTATCTACTTCTAGAACTCTCCCTAATTAAATCCATGAAGTTTTGTATATTCTCATATGTCTATATAAATTGACATAGATGTTGTCAGGGGCTGCAGAAGCCTTTTCTAAACACAAACTTGAACTTTGAGTTATGCAAAAAGGTCACATTTTTAAGTAGCAAGAATATGCTTCTCTTGACTTTTTATGTTCTATTTTTAATAAAGCTTTCTCTTGAAATTTGCTTTCATGGATCTGATTTCCAGTGTTAACCCCATATTATTTTTCTTCAATATTTTTTATTCACTGATATTTTTTCTTTTAATAAAAAAAATCTGTTGAATACAATCCTTTTTCTTTTATTCTAAAAACTTTTCTGGTTGTCTTTAATGCAATCTGAAGTAGCATGCTCTGTGTCCTTCAATATTTCCATGTACATTGTTTCTTGATTGACATAAATTATGTCTTACTATTCATTTGTTCTAGTATTTCACTAAGAAAATTATATTTCAATAATATATTATTGTGTATAATATTACATAATAATTATGTCTGTATATAAATAAAATGCATCTTACAGTAGTAATGAAACCTCACAGAATTAGAGCTAAAAGAACATTTAGAAATTAATTTTTCTCAAATCAGATTTATAGAGAAAATCTAGCTTGTGAACAACAAAATTGGGAATTAGCAAAATTGTCATGTCGTCTGGTATTGTGAGCTGTCTACCCAGGAAATATAAGAGCTATATGGGTTATATATAACTCAGAAAATTAAATGGGAATTTGGCTATTTGATTCTAAATTGAACATTCTGTGCATTAATGCAAGTTTCTTATTGAAAAAATGATGAAATAGAAACATCACTATAGAAAATTCCAACTGTGTTTGGAATAGAGGTTTATTAGTTTCTCATATTACTTTTGATTTTTCCCTTCATCCTTGCCAAATATGGATCTAAAGATTGTTCTTGTTCTTTTGAAATGATAATGATGATGAAAAAAATAACAGCAACATAAACTCACTTCATTATAATTGCTTTTCTGTACATTTAGCTATTTTATGCTTAAAGGGAGATACCGTTTTCCCATGAGATTACATCAGTCAAGGTACAGAAAGTTTCAATAATTCACCTATTCACCTGTAGTGACATTATTACTGAAAGCAAGATTCAAAATCTCCTTCCTCCAATCATAAGCTCTGTCTATTGAACCATAAAGATTTTCATGGTGTCACCATAATTCTACTAACTAATAAATATTAGTCACATTAATGAATTATAACTGCATTAATGAGAGTCTTAAGAAGAATTTAAAAAATATAGGTACTATGAAAGAACAGATGAAGTCACAAGAGAACGTTGAATGTACTTTTTATTGATTTTTAAAAAAAATCCTTCAAGGTTTTCCTTTTCTATAGATAGTGGGATCAAAAAACTTGGGAATTTATGTTTTAGGTTTTAATTTACATAAAAGGCTTTAATTTTTTATTCCTAAAAGCACACAGAAATGGTAGCAGTAGAATGACAGTAATGGAATCATCCAGCTGGCTCTAAAATTGTTTCTTTTCATTTTAAATAAATGAACTCAAAATAGCAAACTAAGATTCATGAGACAGGTAGAGGTTATGGAATAAAAAGTGGCTAAAAATAAATATGACTGCAATACAAAAGCAAAAAGCATTTCTCTATTGCACAGTCTGATCTTGGAACAACAACTAACATGTTTCTAAAATTTGCATTAAACTCTTCTGTGCTGCTTTACACTTAATTCACTTGTACTTAATTAAGAGCTTTTATAACCTGAGAGAAAAATATTTGATACCAAATTATGCCTATAGTTTAGGAAAATATGACTACCCATTTCCTTTCAATTTTAATTAAATGCCTGATTTAAACACATCTGTTTAATGCAGTGAGGAAAATTACTCATCCAAAATAGATTACTTATTTGTACTAAAATAGTGCAAAATAGTTCCCTGAAGTGTGTCTTTGCAGCTTAGCCGTGCATTTGTTATTATTTGTATGCAGTATAGTTTTGTAAAAGCTTTTCTATTATTAATTGAACATGTCACAAAATGTTATACTCAATCACCCTAACTAGATTATAATCTCCTTGAAGAAAATGATTATAGCTAGTGTTCTCCATAGTTCTTAGTAAAGCCTTAGCATGAAGCATTATGGCACTAATTTTAACAAAGTTCATTATATTTCTATATAGAAGGCTAACCCATTTAAAAAATTAAACATGTCTGTTTCTTGAAAGATCAAAACTAGAAGAAGCAAAATCAACGAATACTTTAAAAATTCTGTGTTTATTATTTATGTTGTTGCCATCATATTTCACATAGGGAAAGAAAGATGTTACACAAGCTTGAATTTACTAGTTTGGTGCATTTTCTTTTGACTCAGAGTTCCTTAATTTCATAGATAAATAGTTCCATTTTGCATATACCTGTGAATGAGTTATTTTGTCCTTACAAAGTGCTGGTAAATGAAAGAGATAGGAACTTGGTTCTTATGAATTACCTTCTCTTTTGTGTATGTTTGGATTAGTGGTAGCAAAAAATGCATATTTAAAGAAACACCTATACATGTATATTTCTATACATACATGTATATAATAAGATATATAATTTTAAATTGTAATAAATTCTATAAATGAGTAGAATTCTACCATAGATATTAATAAAAAATCAACTTTTGATAAGATGTCAGAGAAAGGTGATATTTAAATTGTAGCTGGAAGCCCATTGACATGATTTATGCAGATGCATGTCTTAATTAGAGTTGCATATTTAACAGATCATCCAGCTTTCTGGATAGAGAATGGATTGATGTGAAGCCAAATTATAAAACATAACTATAATTTTAGAAACTATCACAATCACCCATTGACAAAGCCAGGTAAAATGTAAAAAGAAAATGGATTTATAGTAGTTTTGGAGGCCGACTTGTTTTGCAGATCCAAGAGATCAAGATAAGCATAAAATTATTCTTCTTTCTGGCTTTCCAGTATCTTTGAAATTATTTTAATATACATCTGTAAAAGTATAATACTTATCTAATAAATATGATTTACTAATTTAAAGCATTGGTAAAAAGCAAACTGTAATAGCTTGGTCTATGTATACCAGAAAACTTTAGTAAAATACGTAATTAAAAGCCATTAATTTAGGTAGCTGGACCTCACCAGGTCAGATAATACTGACATTTGAATTCTAACGTTATGGATAGCTGCAACTATTTCCATTAAAAATCTAACTTTGAACCTCTTTTCTTGCTTCTGATTTTCTTTCAGTCTACACCATCTGTGTGTTTGTAATAACTATATCAGAAACATTTTTCTCTTTCTGGTTGTCTGATAAACACTATGCAGAATAAAACTGCATTATCCTGAGAGAGCAACAGTTCATACTGGCCTATTGAACCTAAAATTCTCTTGAAAGGCACAAAGAAAAATAAGCGGATAGATTATATTTTCACCCAGAATACCAAGTCAGCTCTCTTTCCCAGATTCAGGTTGTGGTCCTCCTATAATCTTTGCACTTTTGTTGCATCTGCATTCAATAGTGGGCAGAAGAAAGTAAGATACCCCTAGATCACACAGTTATTTTGGAAAAAAAGCATTAACAGTGTCACCTCAGGTTACTGAAGTGTTTTTTTCTTTTTTTCTGAAATATAGGAGCTAAACCAAATAATGTTAAACACTTCTTACGATTTCATACTACTGATAACAATAAAGGGTTATTGATGAGCCAGTAAGTACACCATATGATGACCATGGATCAGTCATAGATCATGAGAGATTTGTTAAAGTCTAAAATGATTACAGTATAAATTTTGAACACTTAGTTCATTTCCTTTTCGGTAATTTCATTTTTAAATGTTTTACTCCACATTTCTAATACTTAAAACTGCTCCACTAAAACACAAGAATAAAAAGCATGGCCTTGCATAGTTTTGTCAGGTTGTGCTATATTTTACTTTAGCTTTCAATTTTGAGACAAATTTTTACTCAACTAACAGTTAGTAAAAAGAACAGTTAGAATCTGAAGAATTCAAGACCTATCATTATAAACAGGATATACCTGATATTTTCCACCCAGAAATAATTGGTAAGACAATTTTGGTTAAGAGGCATTAGCTTTTGGAAATTAATTATAAATTATATTTTAAAATTACAATCAGAAGGAACAGTTAGAAAAGCTGTTCTTAGCTCTAACTTCTGTCATCACACGTATGATATATAAAAGTCATATGAGCAAGGCAAACACATAGGCATTACTAAATTTTGTTACACATTGTAAATGAATGTCAGCGATGGTCACAGACTGTCTCAGCTAAGATTGGCTATAACATTGCCCCTTTCTTCCTACTGGAGAAGGCATATTAGATTGGAAACGAAAACAGTAAAAACCTCATATACTTTTTTTTGCATTATTATCTCATTATTTATGTTGTATGCATTAAACTTGATATTGTTGTACCATGAATCCTGCTGTTCTAGAGAATGATCACTTCATAATCAATCCACAATTAAGAGTGTCACAGAGTTATTACAGTGAAAAGAGGAGGCAAGGATAACTCCACACCCTACTGGCTAAATGCAGTTGCATAAAGAAATTATAAAAATAAATAATGTAAACTAAAAGGAAAAAAATACAATGTTTAATAACCATTTTGCATTGATAATTAAGAAAAGAAATGGCATTTATTCTAGAATATTGTGATAAAAGGGAATTAGATAACTCCAAGACTTGTTAATTGAGAATCATAAAAGAACTTTTTGTTTGTCACAAAACAAAGAAGCCTCTGAAAATACTGTCAGAGAAGCAAAAAATAGCCAAGAAAAGGTCAGTCATAAGTTGATTGTGGTGGCCAGAAAAAGGGGAGATACATAGACCAATTTCTGTTATAACTTGTTTGAGCCTCTGTTATGTGGCAGCATAAATTACAAGAATGTATAGATTTATTTCTCCTCTCATCCAGTTATGAAGTCCTGTGTATCTTCTTCACCTTTGTATCCTGCATAGGACATAGCACTCATATTTTGATATAGATGTCTGTGAATTGATGCTTGCATTATTTATTTATCTAATTGGCAAATCTCTATGAAGTACAGTTTCCATTTTATATTAGACCTTGTATCATTTCAAAGTTATATTAAAAGTAATAATGATACCAAATATTCTAAGTACTTTATACATCCAAATTCACATAACTCGCACAAACTATGGAGGAGGTTTTATTTTTTTCTGATTTTCAAATTAAGAAACTAAAGCAAAAGGTGTTTAAGTAACTTACTCAGCATCATACACATCTGAGAATTAATGGAGCAGTGAATAGAAACATGGGTTGTCTAGTTTCAGGGTCTGAGTAGAATTTCTTTGGGCAGAAAGTATATAAACATTAAAAATGATTAATCTACAGTAGAATATTAAAGTGCAAAACAAATCCCATGAAAGATAACAAGGGGGGAAACACTCAATGATAAATTTTACATTCTATCACAGAAATGCATCAGCAGCTTCTTGGTCTCTGAAATGCCTTATTTTGTAATTCTACAATTCTATAAAAGAGAAGTCTTTTCTTTTAGGGTAAAACCTGGGGACTTTATTTATACCATTTATGAGATTCCATCATGTGCCAGCCCCATTGCTAGATATTCTTCATATGTTACTTCCTTGGGTATTCACATCAGTAATTAACAAATAAAAAACATGAAATGCATGTTTTTAAAGATGAGAGTATAAATGATGTGTACAAAGTGACACAACAAGGAACTCAGCCTGATTTGGAGCTCCAAATACCACATCCTATACTGTGAATAGAAGGTCGCATGTCACATTCATTCCATCAAGAATGAATTTGGTTCATCAAGAGAAATTTGGTTTAATTATGTTAGTTTTTTTTTTTAAATTTATAGGAAGCAGTAAAAGTGAGTTGAGAAAGGTAAGAAATTATAATGCACATCCGACTTACAATGGCAAAGGGAACCTGTACAATATGTTCATAGAGTATAATATATATACCTTTTTTATTTCAATCTTACTTTATGAGGAAATGTGACAGGGAACAGAATTGAGTTTCAATAAATCAAAAAGATGGTTTTCTCTTAAAATGTACGAGAAAGTTCATTTATACCTAAAACAAAATACTTCTTTGATGGTTCTTTTACCAGAGACATTTTAAAATTTATGTAGAGGGCCTAATTAAAAATAATCAATTCCTACAAATGTATTATTCTTCAACTGCTGAAAAAATGCTATGAGAGACAATGGAATGGTAACAAAATTTTCAGGAAGTAAAATTTAGAACCCAAGGAAATATATGTAATTGTTAATACCATTTACTAGTTTTTAATGCTATTATGACTAAATAATGGGAGTTTCTTTAGAAGTCTTCATATTTACAGTACGAAAGTTGAATACATAGAGACCATTTTTCATACTATTTTAAATAATTCAGTCCATCTCTTTATCTATTTTTCTTTCATTGGAAAATTTTAAAGTGAAACCATACATGTAAAAAAAATACTTACTTAAAGTAAGACTGTTGTAATTCTAAGCCCGATACATTGTTAACAGATGCAATTTTGAAATGGTATAGTGTCTAGGGGAAAGAAAATGAGAGAGACAGAGACAGAGAATAGCCCTCTGTATGTTCATGGTAGTGAAGTTAACATTACTAAATATATAACTTCAATTAATTAAAAAAAATTCAAACTGCTTAGTCCACAGAAGAAGAAATATGCCCAGGAGACTGTAAGTGTCTTGCCAGGTAGCCCTTAATTTTGTCACAGCTGCAGGGTGGAATACATGGCACCTGGACTTGATGAAATCAGAGGCTATTACTGGGGAGGTGCAGATACTGACCCTGAGGATTGCACGTTTCTTTGTGTTCATGCTAATTTCTGAAAAACTAGTTTACTGTTAAAAGACACCTGTCCCTTTGATCACTTCTTGCTCGGGCCAAGAGTTGTCACTAACATGGAAAAAGAGAGTAAAATCTGCTAAGGTCTGGAATATTAGTTCAACACAAAGTCTGAAGTTAGCTGTTGCCATGGAACATAAATTGGTGACAAACATAGGCAAAATACCTAGGTGACAATCAAGAATCATCCAAAGAGGAGTTGAGGGCATGCATGCTTTGTCCTTTTCTAAGACAACTCCTCATTTTACATATATATATGTATATGGTTTCTCATTATAATTTTTAGCTGAAAAAAAGTTGTTTCCTTAAATATTATTGCAAGAGTATTTCTGGAAACAGAACCCTAATTTGTGGATTCACATTCAAGTGATTATTAAGAATTGCTCTCAACATCAACACCTATGGGAAAAAGGGCGTAAGAGGTTGAGCAGTGAGCAATACATGCACACGTAAACATGAGAAAATTTGAAAGTGGGATGGCTTTGCAGAGATGTTCTGGACTGGTGTGTATGAACCAAGTCTTTATGCTTCAATGGGTGTGGGATTTGCTTGAGAAGGGAATGGCCTTAGTGTAGGCAGCTCTGTTCTAGCTTTCTTCAGTCAATGGACTCAGGGTATGGAAAACAGGCAAGAGACTGCCCTCAGACTCCTTGGTTTGTTTGTTGGTTGCTCTTAACCACAGGGATGTTAACTTCTATTAACTAGCTTTATAACTGTATATGTCAAGCTCCCCTGGCTACCACTGTGACCATGTCTCTCATTACAATAATTACATCTACTGGATTTTTGATGATTATGCACCACGACCTGGCCTCTATTATTCCAGAGTCCTCTCTTTCATTACTGAATTCAATGAGCATATTGATATAACAGCACCTGCTACTGTTAGTCCTGGCATACAAGAAAGCAGACATCACTGAACTTGGTATTGAAGCACCTCTCAGCTGTGCATTTCTTACTGCTTTGGTAAACATGTCTTCTGAACCCTTTTGAGAACAAAATGAACATCTCTGCACCCTCTTTTGCTCCATTATCCACTAACTGCCAGGTCAGGTATTGCACTTCCTCTTTGATGTGAGCCAATACTTTTCCAGTTTCTAGAATTATCTTAGTAGCATTTTAGAAACATCTGGAGTTTTTGCCAAAGTATTAAATCTTTTGTTTTAAGAGAATGCTCTCATCTCAATAAAGTCTTTCTTAATCAGTGTTATGTGTCATCCTCCTTTGATTCAGCATGTTGAATACCCACTCACATTATATATGTTTCTAGTTCTTACAGCTCCTTCAAATTATAGTTCTTATATATTGGTCTGATGGTCAGGAGGGAAGGCAGGGGCAAATCTATGCGGAGTTCATGCTCACTGGAAGGCAAGAGGTGTCTGCATCACCTGCAAGCAAAGGAAGGGCACTAGCCCTTAACAAGGAAGAATAGCCACTTTTTCAGGCTCAAGTTAGATTAATCTGAGGACTCAAGGTTCTCAAGTTCATCAACCCAACTCATAGGCAACTGTCCAATTCTTTCCTAAACAGGGCCCTGATGTCAGCATAGCAGTCCTACCTAGGTTGAGAATTTATCTTTCTCCTGAGTTCTGTTAGTTTTTTTTTATTATTATATTTAAGTTTTAGGGTACATGTGCACAACGTGCAGGTTTGTTATATATGTATACATGTGCCATGTTGGTGTGCTGCCTTCTGGATATGATATTCAGCTTTCTTTGCCCATCTGCTGCTGAGAGGCTTTTTATATGCTGTAAAGAAGCACTATTTGTTCACATGTAGCTTTTAATTGATAACTTACCACCTCTAGTCTTCCATTACATTTCTCCACAGTATCGCTTGCCCCTACAGCCAGACAATTTCATTGCTTTTATAGTTACTATTTTTCTCATATTTCTTAAAAGCTTGCTACCTTTCACCTGCTAGTTGCATTTGTTTTTTCTATTGGTACACCACTAAGTTAAACCCAGATGAACTTTTAAGTTATAATGTTACATTGGGCCAGGGTTTATTCATAGTCTACCTACTGCTTACAGAAAGTTCTTTATTGTCAGCTAGCCAACAGGTGATCCAGCTCAGCTTCAAAATCCCATCTTAGCATCTACTTTTATTGACTCCTCCTGGTACAAACTTAGAGAGGTTGATTTATTCAGAAAGTAAACTCAGATATAGAAATCTGGGCCCAGGGCAGTGGCTCACACCTGTAATCCCAGCACTTTGGGAGGCCAAGGCAGGTAGATCTCTTGAGCTCAGGAGTTTGAGACCAGCCTGCCCAACATGGTGAAACCTAGTATCTACTAAAAATACGAAAATTAGCTGGGCATGGTGGCGGATGCCTGTAATCCCAGCTACTTGGGTGGCTGAGGCAGGAGAATCTCTTGAACCTGGGAGGCGGAAGTTGCAATGAGCTGAGATCAAGCTACTGCAGTCCAGCCTAGGCGACAGAACAAGACTCCATCTCAAAAACAACAACAAAAAATAGAAATCTGCATACAGGAAACTCATTAGAAAGTACTCTCAGGATTTATAACAGTAAAGAAAGGAAAGGAAACAACATTGGGAGGAGGAGGAATTGGCCACAATGCAGTCACAACAAATGCCTCAACCAACTCCATAGGGTAATGGGAAGCTAGAAAGACCCTATAGACTGCCCGTTTTGGGATGATAATCACACTCCTGCTTTGCCCAGCACTCGCTATAACTGGAAGTTTACTTCATTAGGGCAGAGGACAGGACTCTCATACCATCATCTTATCTAGCTTTTTGATTAATACACCTATCTCTAAATGTTCTAATGACTAAAATTTTATGTTCCTATAAAGTGAAAGGCAATACTAACATCAGAGAGAAGACATACTTGTCTTTTTGCCAAAACAAAAACAAAAACAAAAAAAACTCATGTATATATCTAAAATTTCCAAGGATGATACATTGAGATATACTGATGTTTTCTAGTCTAAAGCAAGAGATTGCCTTTAAGATTTTTATTCATTAAAATGCAGGTAAATTAATATTATAATAACTAAATAAGTTATAAATTATATATTATTAAAAGCAGATGGTAGGAATATGAAAGGTTAAAATAGGTTAGGAAAAGCTCATTAACTGCTGCTTGTTATTTATTTGGAGATTTTAATGACAGAAAGTCTAACCCTTAGAGAACATAACTGAAAAAATAAAAGCTATCTTACATTTACAATGAAAATAGACAGGATTTTATTTTAATTTTCAAAAAAATTGTCTCAAAAATGTTTTACTATAGATTTTATTAAAATAATATAAAGTTCTAAAAGCTGCTGATCTTTTAAAATTTATAGTAACAAGCACACTTTGCTCAAAATAGAAATTGAATTTCAAATACAAGCATATTTCATAATACCAAAAGGTACTTTCAGAGTTAAATTTAAGACAAAGTGTTGTTAGTGGTTTTTGTTGTTGTTGTTATTTTTAATAATGGCCAACTGGGTGTTAAACTGTTTTGGATCATGGATAAATGAGAATAAGATGATTAAACTTTCATTAAAAATATTACTATTTGGTGTTGAGACTAATCACCTTAAATAAAGTAGAACAGAGCACTTTCTGAAGTAAAATGGATACCTATTTATTGCTGGAGGCATCTGGGGATCTCAACTTATTAGTAACAGAAAAATATACTTACTACTAATGAACTATTTTAGGTTATTTTCTGTAAGGGAAGATTGCAATAATACCTCTATGATTTATTATGGTAATAACTGTCAAAATACTGTTGAATTCAACATTTCTATTAACATTAGGTTCAAATTTTGCCACCACTTGCCTTGACTATAACTGAGAAATTCACATTTTTATGAGACTCCATGACATAACTTACCCTTTACTTGCCCAAAATACATCATTTACAATTTTAAAAAGTATTCTGTTATTTAAAGTAGTTGTTACTCTGCCACAGTCTTTGTTTTTCTTCTGTCAAATCAATATATTAAGATATTTAAAAACTAAAATGACAAATCTGTCAATTTGTCTAGAAAAAAATTTCCTTTAGTTATCACTGTATTAGAGAAGTTCTACCTTTAAATCTGCCAAAAGAATTCAATCTAACTACACAAGTGTAAGACTGTTGTAATTTTAGCATTATATTATGTCAATTTAAGACACCGGACATCCTGGCAATTACTAGCACATTAAATGCTAAATGTTATCTCTTTTGGGAAATAATTTAAGCTTCAAACCAGGCATTGATATCCTATGCTGGCATTTCATTAAATGGAGGTCGTCAAACTCGATCCAAAATATACTCATTTTTTTTTTGTCGAGATAACTATCAGATTGAAAATCTAAGTTTAATATTTCTTTTAAGATTTGAGGAATCCTGAAGCAATCTGTTGTCTCTTTTATGACATCAATTTTGGAAGTGTTACACAAAGTATAAAAAACGAAATGCTCTGAGAGATGACACTTGAGAGAATGACTTTTATCCCAATTCAGAAAAAGATAATTGCTCAAGAGTCTTCTAAAGTCTTTATAAATCACAGAATAAAAGTCTTTGCATTTATCCCAACTGCGGAAGGAGGAAAAGAGAGCCAATTCCAAGGAGAGTCTGGAGGGCACAACATAAACTCCCAACAGCCTCATTGTGTTCCATCTTGAGTAACAAGGTGGCCAGGTTGGCTTACGTTTAAACAAACAAACAAAAAGATGTTAAAGACACTAAAATATTCAGTATTTTTTAAAAGAAAGTCCTATCTTCCTTTGTAGTGATTAAAGGCAGGGAGGATAAAATTTTTCAGAAGGGAAATTTATAACAAAAACCACTTCACCAAAAGAATAAGAGCAGTTTACGCAGTGTGATATTGAATAAAAGCAGTTTACCCAGTGTGATACTGTGAAATATATATTTAGTCTTCATCCCCATTTCCTGGCATATAACTCTTAGAATCCTTGGAATCTCCAAAGTTATGTCCTTTTGCATGCCAATAATTGACTGATGGTTGGCAGCTCATAGGCAACTTCAGGATGGGGAAGACCAAGGTATGATGGAAGGATTGAGACTGAAGGGAGAGGAGCTGAAGGTTAAGTTAATCACCGATGGCCAATAGGTTAATCAATCATGCCTACATAATGAGGCCTCCCTAAAAACCCCCAAACCAGGATTCAGAGAGCTTCCACATAGCTGAACACGGGGAGATTCCTGAGACCAGGGGGGCATGGAAGCTTTGCACCCCTTCCCCTGTACCTCATCCTGTGTATCTCTTTATCTGTATTCTTTGTAATATCCTTTATAATTAACTGGTAAATGTAAGCACATGTTTCCCTGAGTTCTGAGAGTTGCTGAACAACTTAATCAAACTCAAAGAGGGTATTGTGGCAACCCCAACTTGAAGCTGGTTGGTCAGATATTCTTGATGCCCAGACTTATGACTTATACCTGAAGTGGAGCAGGAGGTGGTCGTGGGGACTGAGCCTTCAACTGGTGAGATCTGATGCTGTCTTTAGGTAGATAGTGCCAGAATTGAATTGGAGGAGACTCAGCTTCTATCCACTGCAGAATTGATTGTTTGCTTGGTGTGTGAGAGAAAAAAAAAACAAACACATATTTGGTCACAAAAGTCCCCTATGCATGTTATTGGTTGTTGAGTGAGAAAATAGAAAAAAACATTTTGAGTTCACGTGTGATTCACACAGCGTAAATGAGAGAATGAGTTGTTTTTCAACAAAGAAAGTTTGGGAATTTTGTTCTTATTAACAATATGTTATAAATCTGTTAATGAAACTTCCGTGTACTTTTCCCTGGTAATAGTTGTAACAGAAATAGAAGGCATAATAGTTTCTATTAGCACACACTAGGAACCAAGGAATGATTAATCTTCTCCAGGACTCCAATGTTGGTGATATTTTATTATGGATATTTTACAGATGAGGAGGTTGATGCTTTAAGAGGTCATTAATGTCTAATGGTCAAATCTAGAAGGAGTTTAAGGTGAATTAGACCTGGGTTTCCATGTAGAGTCCATGCTTGTCTAACTTGTCCTGTGTTTATAAAATGTTTTAAATGAATTTCAACTTTTACTTGACAATGTAGTTTTAATCATAAACATATCTACAATATTGATTATTGTTCTTTGATAACACTGAGGGTAATTTATCTCCTAACTAGTCCAAGATATTATACTTTGATTTTTTATGTTTTCTTGGACAGCTTTGTATTACTTCTTTTTATCTTTAGGGCACCTCACAATGTTGTCAGTGGACCTACCTATCTTCTTGAGACAGTTCTCTTATTCCTCCATTTCCAGAAAACTGACAATTTCTACGTGTCTGTGAGTTAAGAGATTAAAATATGATGTTACTTTTCCTTGTCTAAATGGCCCACCTAAGAATTATGTATAACCATTACTTTTTTTGTAAACGTCGCTTGTAGTTATTTTATTTGACTACTTGGAGAACTTTATTCTTTATTCTCTGGTTCTCATTTGTCTTGAAGGATGAAATTTCCAGAGAAGTAAACTCTAGCAAATGAAAGCATTTAAATGGGTTTTTGAAAATTGTTATTTTTTGTTTCTTGCATGTCATCATAGTACAAACAAAATTATTGAAAAACATCAGGTGTTTTGTTTTGCAAGAACTTGAAATTGTGTTTTCTAAATTAGTAAGAATAGAAACAAATTAACTACAAATCCCAAGTAATAGAGACAGTCACTGACTCTGGAAGATTGACATCTTAAAAGTTTCTGTGTCTATTGATATTATAATGTGGTTTGTGTCTTTAGTTCTGTTTATGTGATGAATCACAATGATTGATTTGCGTATGTTGAATCAGCCTTGCATCCTGGGGATGAAGACTATTTGATCGTGGTGCATAAGGTTTTTGGTGTGCTGCTGGATTCAGTTTGCCAGTATTTTGTTGAGGATTTTTGTATCTATGTTCATCAAGGACATTGGCTTTAAAGGTTTCTGTTTTTATGGCATCTCTGTCAGGTTTTGGTATCAAGATGATGCTGGCCTCATAGAATGAGTTAGAGAGGAGTTCACAGGAACATGGATGGAGGCAGAGGCCATTATCCTTAGCAAACTAATGCAGGAACACAAAACCAAAGATTGCATGTTCTCACTTGTAAGTGGGAAATAAATGATGAAAACACATGGACACATGGGAGGGAACAACACACATTGGAGCCTGTTGGAGAGTGAGTGGTGGGAGGAAGGAGAGGATCAGAAAGAGTAGCTAATGGATGCTGGGCTTAATACCTGGGTGACAGGATGATCTGTGCAACAAACCACCCTGGCACAAGTTTATCTATGTGACAAACATGCACATCCTGCACATGTGCCCCTGCTTAAAATAAAAATTGGAAATTAAAAAAAAATGTTTCTATGAAAAAACTTCTCTATGAAAAAAGTTTTCTATGAGAAACAACACTCTGGAGCTCTTCACATACATCATTTCCTGGAGATTTTTAATGCAGTATAGTTTTTAAATACTCTGAAATGTCCTGTGAAAAGTAAACCTGGTTAAACTGATTGAACCTGATATTTTCCAAAACAAATATATAGATACACACAGAGAGATACATGTATGCGCACATATGTGTACATAAATATGTATTTAAATTAAAATAAATGAAAAAGTAGTAGTCAAATATGCAGATCTATGTCATATATACAGATATGTATATGTGACTGCTACTTTTTTGTTTAATTCTCTTACCCCTATCTTTCTCTTTTCTATGTATGCAGGTATGTAACAGATATGCAATTGTACCTTGGAAGATGCTTTTCTCATATTTTGGCATCACCTATTGTTTAATCCTAAAGCCAAGGAAAGACTCAATATTTAACACTTGAATTTAAGATTATAAATTATATTTACCAAAAAGGCAAATATTATCCTAACACTGCATTTTAATTTCATGACTTCCAATATATCTGGAGATTAGGGAGGAAAAAGGTGTTAAAATTTTTATTTTAAAGTACATCACTTTACAGTTTTCTGACAACTATAGCTGACAAATTTGTTTTGTCTCAAAGATAATTTAGAGTGACAAGTTATTTCTTTTGGGGGCCACAGATGCAAGAAAAGATTTACTTCATCTGCTTATTACCCTAGAAATCTCTAAACAAAATTCTAGTTCAACTTGCATTTGTGATTTCTCTAGACTTTACTTTATTTACCAGTGCCCTATATGGACAAGATCATTTAATTAAAAAAAACCCTTAGAATTATAAAATTATAAAGTAAAATTGAAGGAAATGTATGGAGTATTTCATTGAACCTTATCATTTCTTTGTGTGCATGTGTTTGTGTGTGCGTGTGTGTCTGTCTGTCTGTGAGAGAAAGACAAAGCACAATGACTTAAATTGGCCATTTTGTCTCCCTATATTGGACAACTAGAGTCATGAATGCTGATTTTGCTGAGTCAGCATCCCTACTGGGAAACACAGAGGCCACTTGGTAGAGGCAAATATAAACGTTCTTGGGAAACACATTTTTGTTTAAATTTTCCTCATAAATTTATTAGACTAAAATCAACTGGTATAACAGAAATAAAAACACGGTGCAAATATAAACTTTTATTTTTATATTGATTCATTATTTGCTTTATAAATTTTTTATTTTATAAATAAAATGGCCTTATGTAATTGCAATGGCATACATGAATTTTTTTCCAGGTATTGTTTGACTTTTAATAAGCTGGTTAGTGACTTTCCACTAAGTAAATCTTCACGACTAAATAGTGTACTGCAAGGATGCAAATACAACCCCAGGCCTTTGTCAATAAGCTCCCTCTATGCTCCAGTGTAAAATAAAATTATCGTTTGCTTCTTCACATCTCATATCCCTTCTCCATTTTGTACTGTGTAGAATTTGTACTTTTGCTTTGCATTTAAGGAAATACCTGTCACTTATCTTTTTTTTTTCTTTTGTAGCTTTCATGCTAATAAAGAATTGGCTGTCCTCACCTAGCAAAATATTTTTATGCACAAACTACAATGACATGGTTGCCAACCTGGTTTAATGGTTTGAATTAAGAATGACCATTTATTTATGATAATAGAAATGCTCTCAATAAACCAGTTCAGTGCACTATATGCCATAAGTAGACTTACTAAATTGAGAGGACAGAGCCTGGTAAAAAGAAGTCAACTCCTCATCAAACAAAGAAGAAAAAAGAAAGATTGAAATAACAGACTAATTCATTTTTGATACAACGTTTTTAAAATCTTTTGAGGGAGAAATTGTCTGCTCTCTGCAAATGCAAACCAGCTAGTTTCTGCTTCCAAACAATTGAAGAGTATTGCTCACAAAATTATAAAGAAGGCTGTTTGTTTATGGAGCTCTCACACATCTCCTTTCAGTCTTTCTCTTGACTTTTCCCTCCCTACTCCATCAGAAACTATGTGATTCCTTATTCCTGACATCACAAGCTCAATGCCACAAAAGCCAGTCATTTAATAAAGGTGTGAAGACAACAGTGTGTGTGTGTGTGTGTGTGTGTGTGTGTGTGTGTGTGTGTGTGGCATGAATTTTACAGATGTTTGAGTGCACGTGTGCATGTGCTTTTGAAGCAGGGATTTATTTCTCAGGTACTACCAATTGTTGCTAGAACTAATTGCAGGCTGTAAAAATAACGTAGATACCTACATTTTTATTTGGAATTCCTTAATTTCTACATGTTGGTCTCTGTTATGAGCTGAATTATGTCCCCCTCAAAATTCATATGTTGTAGCACTAACCCGTAATAATTCAGAATATGTCTGTATTTGGATACAGGGCTGTTAAACAGGTAATTAAGGTAAAATTAGGTCATATAGGTGTGCCCTAATCTAATATGACTGGTGTTTTTATAAGAAGAGATTAGGGTAGACAACACAGAGATGAAGAGAGGGCCACGTGAGTACACCATCTGCAAACCAAGGTGAGAGGCCTCGGTAGAAATAAAAAATTCTGACATCTTGTTCTGGGACTTCTAACCTGCAGAACTACGAAAAATTAATTTCTATTGTTTCAGGCATCCAGTTTGTGGTATTTTGTTATGGCAGCCATAATAAACTAATGCAGTCTTCTTTTTCAAAATATTTCTCTGGTCAAACGAAATGTGTAAAGTTCAAATTTCACATTTTGCCAAAAGTCTGCTAAAGTTTACCTGTGCTTTATTTACTAATTGAATCATATTTTATCAAATAGGACTTATAATTTAGTGTTAATTGGCCAAAGCATGCAATTTCAACTCATTACCTTTTTTTTTCTTTTGAATCACATATTTTACTTTAAAATGACTGTAGATTCACATGTAGGTATAAGAAATAATACAGAGAGATGTGGGGTATAATCGACTGGGTTTCCTCCAATGATGACAACCAGGATATTGATATTGTTACATTCAATGTACAGAATATTTCCATCACATTTCCATTCATAATGTTCTTTGTAGCCACACTTACTTCTCTCTCACTTTCACTTCCTCCATAAACCCTGACAACCATTAATCTGTTCTCAATTTCTATAATTTTGTTTTTTCAAGAATGTTATGGGCGGGACATGGTGGCTCATGCCTGTACTCCCAGCACTTTGGGAGGCTGAGGTGGGCGGATCATGAGGTCAAGAGATTGAGACCATCTTGGCTAACACGATGAAACCCTGTCTCTACTAAAAATACGAACATTAGCTAGACGTGTTGGCGGGTGCCTGTAATCCCAGCTGCTTGGGAGGCTGTGGCAGGAGAATCTCTTGCACCCAGGAGGCGGAGGTTGCAGTGAGCCAAGATAGCTCCACTGCACTCCAGCCTGGCGACAGAGTGAGGCTCTGTCTCAAAAAAAAAAAAAAAAAAATAGTGATATAATAGGAATCACGCAACGTGTAACCATAACTTGTTGGGATTGGCTTCTTTACATTTCAGCATAACTTTGTAGCAATTTCGTTACATTTTTATGTATATCAAAAGTTTCTTCCTTTATACCTTTGAGTATCATTTGATGATATGGATGCATCATAATTTGTTTAACCGTTCAGCTATTGAAGGACAACTAGGTCATATTCAATTTTGAGTTATTACAAATTGAGCTTCTATAAACATTCATATATAGGTTTTTGTGTGAATATGTCTTAATTTCTCACAATAAACGCTCAGGGATGCAATTTATGCGTTGTATGATAGTTACATTTTTAGTTATTTAATTTATTAAACTGTTTGTAATAATGGCTATACCATTTTATATTTCCATCAACAGTGTATGAGTGATCTGATTTCATCTTGTCAGCATTTTAGTTTTGTCACTATTTTTAATTTTAGACATTTTGATAGGTATGTAGTTATATCACATTTTGGTTTTATTTTGCATTTCCCTATTGTCTAATAATGTTGGACATTTTTTCAAGGGCTTATATGCCATCTGTATATATTCTTTGGTAACATGTCTTTTGCTGAGTTTCTAAGTGGACGGTTTGCTGTTTTAACTGTTGAATTTTTAAAGTTCTTCATATATTATCGACATTAGTCCTTTGTAAGATAGTTTGCAAACTTCTTTTTAAAGCTTAATAGGTTCTTTCAGAGAGCAAATATTTTTGTTCTTTTAAATTTTGATGAAGCACATTATATCAAAAATTATTTTTAATGTATTACACTTTTGATACTAAGTCTAGGAGCTCTTTGCCAGCCCTTGATTTAAAAGATTTTCTTTTATGTCTTTTGCAAAAGTATAGTAGTTTTACATTTTACATTCAAGTCCTTGATCTATTTTGAGTTTGTATAAAATGTGTGAGATTTAGGTTGAGGGTATTTATTTATTTATTGCTTGTGAAGGCAATTGCTCCAGCATCACATGTTTAAAATGCTGTCTTTCCTTCATTGAATTACTTTTGCATCATCATAAAAAAGTCATTTGGGTGTAGTTGTATGGGTCCATTTCTGAGTTCTCTATTCAGTTCCATTGATCTACCTATTTATTCCTCTGCTACTATCACGAAGTCTTGAATTCTGTACTATATAATAAATTTTGAAATTGGATGGTGACATCCAATTTCTGATTTAGGCAGAGAATATTCAGTTTTCCCTGATCTTAGGTAGAAAATATTCAAATTTTCATCATTAAGTACAAATATTGGCTGAAGGTTTTCTGTAGATCTTACTTCACCATGGAATTGGCTAAAAGGGGAGAATGAGAAACTGTGGTGGAGAGCTACAGATTAATCAGTAAACCCATTTTCCTAACAGCAAAAAATTGTAATAACTAGTATAGACTGTGAGTCAGAAAAAAAGCCACTTCTTTCTAGAATAAATTATTATGAAAACAACCATGTTAATAAAAATGAGAGAATTACATATTTTTACTCAAACTTTAATAATTTTTCTTATATCAAATTTGTATAAGTCTAGCTACCAGTCTTAAAAACTGTCCTTTAGGCTGGGCGTGGTGGCTCACGCTTGTAATGCCAGCACTTTGGGGGGCCCGAGGCAGGCGGATCACGAGGTCAGGAGATCGAGACCATCCTGGCTAACACGGTGAAACCCCGTCTATATTAAAAATACAAAAAATTAGCCGGGCGTGGTGGCGGCGCATGTAGTCCCAGCTACTCGGGAGGCTGAGGCAGGAGAATGGCGTGAACCGAGGAGGCGAAGCTTGCAGTGAGCAGAGATGGCGTTACTGCACTCCAGCCTGGGCGACAAAAAACACAAACAAACTGTCCTTTAATAGGATTTAACATTATATCTCAACTTATGCTACTATAATATGTGTACTCTAATTTATTAACTGGATTTCTAATCATTAAGACAATTTTTAATAATATATAAGAATTATAATAAGAACAATAAAGTTGAGGAGTATAAGTAAAAATGTTCTTGAATCCTAGATTACCATGTACAAAAGTGAATTTACTTTTTCAATATTCATTTGTCACTGCTTGATTTTAAAATTTTGAGTTTTTTTGTACTCTTAAAAAGAGCATTGTAACATAATATTCGGTTCTAAATATCTGAGGGGTTCAAATCATTGTCCTTATTTTTATCAATTCAATTTTTTAATTGAATTGAAAATTCACTGCATTTAAAATTTATTCTATTTTTATCTTTGTTTTATATTTCTTTATAGAAAGATACTCAACAATTCAAATAGTTCATTGATAATTTTTTTAAGTTGGAAATTAAATTCTCAATCTCAAGTGGCTTTTCATAAACAGTTTTAAATTAGGTATTTAATCTTCAATATAACAAAATGCATAAATTGGAAGGGGAAGCAAAACAAAAGCAAGGTTTAAATCAAGTCAATTCAGAACAGATAGGTCCTAGTATTTTTCAGAAAGATTAACTCTAATTGCTCTAACAAACAACTTTCAAATTTTAGGGACTTAGCATAATGAAAGTTTATTTTTCCACTAAAACCATCAGATTAGTGCTGGACCATTTCCTTTGGACTCTCCTTCAAGCAGTGAGTCAAAGATTTAGGTCTCTTTCATCTACTGACGTTTACATCTTAAATATAGGTTCTGTGATGTAAAGATAAGAAAGAAAGGGTTAAAGAATTGTACAGAATATTTTGAGAAGCAGTCTGAGTTTTACCTAACTTATAACAGTTTGCAGAAAACATTTATTGTCCAGAACTCAGTCATTTTGCCCCTAACCTCCCTGCAACTGGGGCTGGAAAAAGAGTTTTCTAACTAGTAAGAGGAAGCAATTTGCAGAAAACATGGTATTTGCTGTCCCTGCCACACTTTCTTCTTTTTGTAATAGAGTGAGAAACATACATTTAACATTGTGACATAGTGAGGGCCAGTTAGACTAGACGACTAAACCTGGGGCTTCAATTCTGTGGTCACAAACTTTCACTTTGGAAAAGTCATCTCCTTGAGTGAACATTAATTCGTCATGTGTGTGTATGTGTGTGTAAATAGTAAGATGTATGTGAAAGTCAGCTGTAAATTAAAGCTTAATTATATTTATATTTTTGTTACAGTTATTCATAGTAGTATTACTTTCATTCTTTGAAAACATAATCCTTTCCAAAATGAAGTGACTTACCTTGCCTAAGCTATGTCTCTTTTGGTAATTTTTTCCTTTTTGTGCTATTTTGTTAGGTTTGATTATTCTTAATAAGATTCATCATTTTACTGGGAACATTTCAGTTAAAAGGTATAGGCAGCCAAACCTGATGTGCTCATTCTGTGAAAAAGTTCAACATGAGAAAAAATAGGGAATAGCACCTATTTTGCGTAAATGTAGTAGTAAATACTAAGATAGAAAAATAACTGATTATCTATAAAAATTAGTGGAATGGTAACATTTATTTAAGCTAGTATTTCCAAAATATGTTCTGAATAGCACAAAGCAGTTTCTTAGTAGATGTTCCAAAAAAAAAAAATGCCACATTCAAATAAATTTGGAATGCTCTAAGCTAAATAAAATAGAATAAATTTCTTTATTTTGTGATGTCCTTGAACCTTTAATAACCTTGAATATGCTGATGTGAATTGTGAAGTTGTATGTAGAATTTTGCAAAATCATTAAAAAGGCGAAGACCTTTTAAATGTACTTTTTCATAGGTTTATTGTTATGGTCATATAACTTTAGAAAATACTAATTGAAATCCATCACTGTTCTAAATATGTAGTAAAAATGTTTTACATATTCTTTCCAATTGAATCCAAAGTAAATGAAATAATAGCCCGGAATAATGGAACAGAACTATTCCTCTATTGCAAAACAGTAGGTGATTAATAAATTATTTTTAAAACTATAAGTACTTCAACTGACCTAGTTTAAAATTTGATGATAAATCATACTGTAATGACATTTGATAGAAATCAGTGCTGATTATTAGTAAAATCTCACTAGGAATAATAGGATACTTCCTTAACATGATAGAGAACTCTTTATTTTACTATAAGCCCAATCATCAATGTACTAGTGAAGGACAAGATCTATACTATCATGGTTAGAAATACAAAACAGATTCTGATTTTCACCTTTATCACATAATAGTGATGTGAAAGTTTCTAGTCATTGCAATAAGAAAAAAATAATTAAATAACTTTAATTGTTAGAAAAGAGGAAATATAGCCAGGCGCAGTGGCTTACATCTGTAATCCCAGCACCTTGGGAGGCCCAAGCGGGAAGAGCAACTGAGCTCAGGAGTTTGAGACCAGCCTGGGCAACATAGTGAGACCCCTTCTCTACTTAACAAAAAATTTTTAAAAACAAAAGAAGCAATATTATTTTTATTAGCACCAAATATAACATTTCTAATAAGCCCATGAAAATCAACCCAAAGTTGATAAGTTATATAGTCATTAAGATGCTTAAAGAAATGTTTAATGCAATAGACTATCCTAAATTGTAGTAAACATATAAGGATAGAAATAGCTATATAATAATGTTAAACATAAAGTGACAACATATAAATATATAATTATATATATTAATATATAGTAATTGTGTAAGAATATATATATTTTTATAGAAGTCTCACAAAGATTAAAAATCCCAGTTTACAGTAACATATGCAAACATATCTGTGTATTCAATATACATATAAAATATATATAAACTTCATGTCAGAATACATGTATTTTATATAAATATTTCATAGAAAATATTTAAAATACAAATTATCATTAATAGTTATCATTGTTCTGTTGAATTTGTTGACTTTTTTTATTTGATTGTTTTACATTTTAGTATTTCTCAAATTATCTACATGGACCGTGAATTATTTCCATGATCAGAAATAGCTTATTTTTTAAGCTTATAATACAAAAGAGGCAAGTGATTTTCCATGTAAATATCGTGTATTAATGGAATATTTTCCATATGTTCATTTGGTCTCAAAAGCATAACTGCTTTCCTCAGTTCAGCCATATACAGTTTGTGTTTCAAGGCAAAACAGCCTGCCTGAGGACATCTGTAATGAGCCCACAAAGTAAAACAACATGTACCCTATACTTGTCTTTTTTTAAGGTATTCTGTCACTATTTCTAAAGAATCGTTCTGGTGTTTCCTTTATTTGTTCCTAAGATTGTTTTGATATTAAAAAACAGATATTTTGACAAGTACTTTTATAATTTTGAGCTTTAAAAGTCAGTATTTGGGTTCTGCCACATTCTTTAAAAATTTTATAGCTACTATCACAGCATAACAGGGGTAATATCACATTTATTCGACTTATGCTTTTTATACCCAAATTCATTAAGCAGAGATCTTAGTAAAAATGGAAATATCAGGTATGGACCAAACTTAAACATTATTAATATAAAGCTGCCAAATACCTTTGACACAGAAAAGATTATTTTCATAACATAACAAAATCCTTCAAGATCTTCGTATATTAGACATTGTGAATCTTCTTCCTAGAGTTCTTTGAATATTGATGAGTTTCACCTATAAATCAATGTTGAATCACAGTTTTAGGCACCTCATATAATTCTTGAAATACTCTTCTAATGTCAATATCTAGTTAATATTTGATAATTTTTTATAAAGACAATTTTATTATATGAAATTACTTCTATTTCTATTTCACTTGGAGTTTTTATTGGTAATGATGACAAAACATTACTAAATCTCATTTTTAGTATCTATTTCTGTAATAATATCTTACATTCTGTTCTTTATGATGTAATTGTTTACATTGACAGATTTGGTTAGTATTTCATCACTGAATTTAACCAAATTTGGTCATAAATTAAACTTGTTTTTTAATAGCTAACATCTATCTTATTTAGAGTTTTGGTATCTGTATTTATTAAGAAGTTTATAACGTCTCGTTTTTCATAGCATATTTATCAGTATTGGATAATCAATTCTGATTTTACAAATTAATTGGGAACTTCTTATCTTTTTCTATGAACTCATTTATATAGCATCAAAGTTATGTATTTTTTAGAGAATCTGATGCCGTAAAATGTCTGCCTATCTTATGTGGTCTAAAACAAGTCCACACAAGGATACGGAAGATGAAGTATATGTTACACAGTTATCACACTCATAAGAGATGGAGCTAAAGAGTTATGAGTAGCAGATGACAGTAGAATTTAGTTTTAACAATACATTAATCATTCTCATATTGTACAGTTGCTTCTAAATAAATGTTCATTGCTAACCATTTTGAGGATGTATGACAGGAAAATATGGTGACAAGTGAACACAGGGAAGATTGCCCTTGGCCTGTTTTAGGTTTGAAATTGATCTGCATCATTGCTATATCTCTCTGCCAAAAGTTTGTTCTCTGATGTGCACTCTGTCACAAGTTGCTCAGAGTCAAAACTCAGAAACAAAGGAAATAGATAGCATCTAAATATATCGCTTTTGCATAATTTGCTTAAGCAGAACTGAAACCAAGAGAATTTATTGCCAACTGGAAATTAGCCACAAAGATTCTCAAATGTGTTAAATCCCAGCATTAATTAAATTTTAAGTAAGGAAATTGCATTAACTGTTTTAAATCACAAGGGCACTGTTTTGTCCAACCTAAAGCAATATTTTTTCTGACTTTGACCCAAGTGACCTACTAAAATTAATGACATTTTCAAAAATTGCTTATTTTCTCTCTGCAAGTTCAAAGGAATATTGGTTGGGTAATTATCTAAATTATATCAGACGGCACTAATAACATAAGGGAGGAAAGTTCATGGAGAGAGAAATAATTAATTGTAGATTAGATATCTGAATTTATCTTTTTAAAAGATCACCTTGGGGTAAGCTCTACCAAAACCATTTATCCCAGATCACATGAATTCTGATACCACAGCTAGTTGAATGAAATAATTGTATTTCGTTTCATCATCTTTAATGAAAGAGTTTTAAGAGAAGGGGATTGGCTTAAAGTTATCCTATAATACAATAAAGCAATTTAAAATATAATTTCAAGGAAAATAGCAATAATAAAGTTAAAGTGTACTTATTACAAACTCACTTTTCCACACTCACATATTAAACAAGAACACTGAATAGATATTAACCAAGATAAAAGAAAAAAACAAACGTTTGAAAAGGTTAAATAACTAATACTAGAAATAAAATATTCAAATCCCCCATTACTGTACTTACTGTCACCTACACATAACTTGACCCAAGGAAACAGCTCTTACTAGTCAATGGTGAGTAATTTTTGTAAATAAGCCAACCTGGAAATAATACATAGATTATAAAACAAACGGCCGGGCGCGGTGGCTCACGCCTGTAATCCCAGCACTTTGGGAGGCCGAGGCGGGTGGATCATGAGGTCAGGAGATCGAGACCATCCTGGCTAACAAGGTGAAACCCCGTCTCTACTAAAAATACAAAAAATTAGCCGGGCGCGGTGGCGGGCGCCTGTAGTCCCAGCTACTCGGGAGGCTGAGGCAGGAGAATGGCGTGAACCCGGGAAGCGGAGCTTGCAGTGAGCCGAGATTGCGCCACTGCAGTCCGCAGTCCAGCCTGGGCGACAGAGCGAGACTCCGTCTCAAAAAAAAAAAAAAAAAAAAAAAAAAAAAAAACAAGCAAGTAGATAAACAATTATAGGATACATCCCAAAGAATGAAGTTGGAGAAAACATTTCTTCATACTCACAGATAAAAAGGTGCCAAAGAAGAGGATTCATCTCAAAAGCTGATGAAAAATAATTTGTAATTGTTCTGACAATTTTTTAAAGAAGTGCCTCATGTTCTTCTTTGGCTTTTGTTGGGGAGTATTTGAATGAAAAGAGAGAAAAGAAAATTGCCAGGTGACTTCTGATTACCATTTAATAAATACAAATACATAAATCAATGAAACCATAAAGAATAATGCAGCACCATTGCTATATTAGAGGTAAGTATAGAAAAATCTCAAAAACATCAAAAGTGAAGCTGTATTAGAGCAAATATATTTAGAAAGTCAGATTGCATCATAAATCTTTTATCTTATGATCATTTTGAATAGATATATGTGGATAATTTCTTTGCTCATTGGTCAGATATATTACTGCAAATTCTTTGGGGCTATTCCCATCAAGGAATAGTGTCTATGCTCTTTCCTTTTAATCTGAAACAACTTTAACCAATATAATGCAAAGGTCATTTCTGTAACTTCTGAGGCAAGGGTAGACAAGGTCATGTAGCTTCCTCATAGTTCTTTGGGATTTTTTTTATCTCTAGAAGAAGTGATCAGCTGTGTAAGAAATATAAACAATTCTAAAACAACCATGTTACAGAGGTCATATGTAGGTGCTCTGGTAGATCATTCAGATGAACTCCCAGCAGACAACTGGTATTAACTGCTATGCATCTGAGAGCGACATCATAGGCATCAAGTAGACAACAGGTCCGGCCAACACCTGCCTGCACATGCAGTCTCCAGTAAGAACAGCCCAGCTGATTATTTCCAAATTATTGACCCACAAAATTGTACGCAAAATAAAATAGTTATTTAAATTTGTTAATTTGGGGGTGCTTTATTGTGCAGCAATAATAAACAGAACAAAATTCAATACCCAGAGGTAGGATGCTTCCATTTAAAAAATAAACAAATAAACAAAACTTAAAACGTGGCTGAATCTGGGACCTGGTGGAAGACAGGAGCTGGAAAAACCTTGAGAAATTTGATAGCACAAACTTCAAGCATGTGAAAAGACTACTGTTGAGAGTTTAAGGAAACTGAAGAAAATGTTATTGGAATTTGGATAATAGAGAATTCTTCTTATGCTGTAGTAGAGAGTTTGACAATGCTCTTGCCTGCAATAGCATGGAAAATAGTAATTGAACTTAATGAACTCCATGGTCTGGCTAAGATTTCCATGCGAGTGATGGAAATGCTAAAGAGGCTTTTTATTATGTGCCTATTCATTTATTTATTTTGAGGCAGAATCTTGCTCTGTTGTCCGGACTGGAGTGCAGTGGCACGAACACAGTTCACTGTAGCCTCATTCTCCCAGTCTCAAGTGACCAGCCTCTGGAGTAACTGGGACTACAGGTGTGTGCCACTATGCTGAGTGCCATTTAACGTGAGAAAAGTAGATGAACGAAAAATCAAATGTCCCAGTTTTCAAACGTAATTTGGAAGAGTATAAGGAGCCAGGACTTGCAGAGTTCCAACATAAAACTGTTCTTTGCCCACAATCTGTCCAAAGAGAAGAGCTCCAAATTAAAAATGAAATTCACAGAAAGTTTCAAATCCACGCTATCATCACATTAACATTGTCTCATGGAAAAGAGACTTGATTTCCCATAAGGGTGATTGTGATCGCAAAATTATTTAAGAACTAGCAAGATTTAAAGCAGTGCCTTTTTGACCCTTTCAAACATTCAAACAATCTTAATGTTACTGACTTTTAAGTCTAAGAAAATTAAATCAGCACCTCATTAGAGATATCGGCACTCTCATGTTCATTGCAACATTATTCATAATAGCCAAGATGTGGAAACGACCTAAGTTCATTGACCAATGAGCAGAGAAATTATCCACATATATCTATTCTTTTATGTCTGCATTCTTGTTATCCATTTCAAGATTCATTTGTATTGTTGCATATATTGTTAAGTTTGCTATTTCAGTTACTGAGTGGTATTCCGTTCTATGACTGTGTTACAATACGTTTCATCCATTTTGCTCTTGAGAGACTTTTGGTTACAAAGATCAGAATTCCTAGGAATATTATTTATAAATACTTATATGTATATGTGTTTGCATTTGTTTAGCAAATACCTAAGAGTTGTTAAATCATATGATAGGGATAAGTTTGGCTTTGTAAGAGATTAACACAATTTTCCCTAAGTGATTGTTCATGTTATGCTCCTGGAAGCACTATATGAGGATTTCAGGAGCTCCATTCATTAACATTCGAGATAATGAGTTACCCATTCTTAATAACATTTGGATTTGTTATTCACTTTAATTTTTGTCATTCTGGCAGGTGTATAGTAGTAGTATCTCAATATAAATTTAATTTGAATTTTTGATGCTCATGTATTTGCTTTCTTTTCAGTTTTTAAAATTAATTTTTTTTCTGAGACACCGTCCTTATAGCAGCAGGAATCATGCCAATTTTCACTTATCTGTACATAAACTTAAGACTATATCTAAATAGTTATGTGTTGAATGACCAATTGAATGTTTAAAATAAAATTGCTAGAAGAGTTCTTAGTTTTTAAAAGGCTCATTCTGGATTCAGAGATCTTATTGTCAAATTCTAGTTCTGCCAATTTGCCAGTGTCAAACATTATTCAAGCACTCATCTTACCTTGAATCAATTTCCTCATATTTACAGTTGGGATAAAGAATATAACTACCTTATTCTGTTGAAGTAAGAAAGAAATATGCTCTTCTTTAAAACTGTACCTGAGATTTCTTTGGCATTCAACAAAGGTTAGCTATTGTTTAAAAAATGTGTATTTGTATTTTCTGTATCTCCAGGGTTTTACAAAATATGTAAAAAGGGAAGAAACGAGTGAACAAGGAACATTTAATTTTAGGTATCTTCCAGGCTCAGAATTAAATGCAATGCCAGCTTTCATTGTCTCAGCTACCACTGGATAGCACAGGCACTGCACCTCTCAGTCCTGTCACTGTGACTGCTGCCAGGATTCTCATTTTCCACTCACCCATATTCACAGTAGTTCTCATACAGCCTTGGAGTGTTTTCTCCCCCTGACTCTCTGATTTCATTCTTTCTTTGTCAGCTCAGTACATAGTCACAGTAATTGCAGCAGGACCCCAATTTTAATCACAACATCTACCTCAACAAATCACTACCATTGGTGGGAGCAAATTTGTATGCAAAAGTACATACAGAAGTACTTCTTTGTTTTTCAAAAAAGATGTATGTATCTTATTTTACTGTAGCAAAATATTTCATTCTCAAATACATTTAGAACTGAAAATAAATTTTTAGCTTCTGGCTACTAATACCATTACCCTTGCTTTTCTAGGCTTTATTACTTTTTAATGAAGCAAAATGTATTCTCTAGGTGGGCTTATATTTAAAAAATGCATGGGTGAGAAAACTGAAAGAAACTTAGAAGTGACAAATCTATGAACATAATTACACTATTATCAGCATTTTAGACATTTCCTTTCAATGCTTAGGGTTCTGACAATGCCAGCCTACTATTTTCTTCAACAGATCTTCTTACCCAACTATGTGAATTGCTTCAATTCAAAAGAAGCCTCTATTGTCAAGACTAGTTCTCAGAAATGTTAGCTTTCTTTTACTCTACATCTTGCAAGCAATTTCCTCTACAGACAATTATCTATTTTGCCTTCAGAGCAGTAAGAGATAGCATTAGGTTGCATTTAGAACTCAGCTGGATGCAAGAAAGAAGTCCCTAACCTTAGAGTGACCAAAATGAAGCTACAGAGGTGCATTTTAATTCCCCCTCCTGAGCTGATTGCAACAAGCTTAATAGGTGATCTAACAATTACCCTACATAGATAGAACCAGAAGTGTCTATTCAGTGTAATTAAATTTGGTGAACAAATTGCTACATCACAAATGTAATGCCACACATTCTTTAAACTGAGTATTGAAAATCCATGCTTATTTTGTCTAGTTCCTTTTGTTTAATTGCAGCTTATTAAAAATAAAATTTCCAGAGTCTTGAATGGTTTTATTAAAATTTTTGTCAGTTTTATCATTGCCTTTGGTGAGAGGATTTGCTGAGCTTCTCAGTAAATCACTCCAATGGTCCTAGCTAATCTGTTTAATTTTAATGTGATTACTGACTTATTTGAGAATAGATATGCTATTTTGCGTTTGCCTTCTACTTGTGTTTCTCTTCTGTTTTGCCTTTTTAAAATTGTTTATGTATTTTGTACTCTATTAGCTCATTAGTTACATATTCTTTCACTGTTGGTTTTTTGGTTACTCTAGAAAGTGAAATCTGTGTTCTTGGTGTCTAATATAAACCAGTGATTTTCTAGCTTACCTTACATTAGCATTAATCTGAGTACTTTACTTGTATTCATGCCTTTCTGCCTTATGTCATACAGTTGTCACTTAAGTAGATACATAAGTGATAAATAGAAATAAGTATAGGTTCCTGTTCATGATATATCACTGTTCTTTTATAAAACCACATATTAAAGCATTCATCTATTTAATCTTTCATTTCTGCATAGCAGAATGTTTATTTATAATTATTATTTTTCTACCAAACAATCTAGTATATCCTTGAGTAAGTTCTTCTGGTGACCACTTATATAATTTCCAATTGTCTTTTATTTTACCTTTACTCTTAAAGAGTATTTTTTGCTGACTATAAAATTCTGGTTTGGTAATTATTGCTTTCAATATTTTGAAAGTGCCATTTTCTTCTCTTCTGTCTTCCAGTTTATCTATATTCTGTTCAGTTGCATCTAATTCAATTTTAAATACATTAAGTTTTTAATTTTAGTTATTCCATTTGCAGTTGTAGAATTTCAAAATGTTTCTTCTCTGTAGTTGCCAGTGCTTTTCAAAAAACATTTTCCTTAGCATATTAATCATAGTTGTTTCATAGTTTATGCTGCATAATTTCATAATCTGGATGATTATGGGCTTGTATTTTAATTGTCTTTTTCCTCTTTTGGTTTCCTATGTTGTCATGTGTTTATCTGTCCCTGGATATTTTAGCTTGGTTAACATAATCTGAGGTTCAGAATAATACTATTTTTAGTTTCGTCTTGCTTGTTGGCTAGTGAAAGATTATCTTGATCCATTAAATATTTGAACTGACTCAGTTGTGGGCTTCATTCCTTCAAAAGGCTGATCTGTATCCAGGAAAACATGAAACAGTGTGCAATCTTACGAATTTGGCAAGAATATGGCTTTCTGTTAGCCCTAATTACCTAATTGCTGTGATGGTTTTATCTATGCCAACTTTTTTTTACATATTGGAATTCTGCTTTTCTCAAACATAAATATTTTTTAAAGTAAGTTGCAGTGAACAGTGATATTTTAAGTCATCCTTTCAAGAAATGGCTTTCCCACTCTGCAATTCAATGACAAAGAGAAGGCATAGGCATGCAATAATAGGACAATGTAGTTTGCCTATTTCTACTTTCTCATGTTACATAGTTTTCAACTTCTGCCTAAGTTGTTTTGTTATCCTCCACCAAAGCCCTCCCCCTCTAACACATTTTAGTAACATATATTTTGGTATTACTTCACTTATTCATTGGGTGAACATACAAAAAACCACAAGTTATTCCAACTTGTTCAATTGTACAATTTTAAAATATCTTGTTTAATTTTTCCTATACCGTGTTTTTGATTTTTAGAAAACACGATTTAATTTTCTTATATTAGCATCACATCATTGTGTATTACTTAGCTTTTCTTTTACTCTTGCATTTGTGGATAATTAAGATTCAACTCCTGACCTCAGGTGATCCACCTGCCTCAGCCTCCCAAAATGCTGGGATTACAGGCATGAGCCACCGCGCCTAGCCAATATTCATTTTAAGTTTCTAACTTATCCATTGGACTTTTCTGATATGTCAAAATGATGATACAGGCTCTTCATGTTCTATTTGTTGTTAATTTTTTATAATAAACCTCATTTTTTCTATTTTTAATCTCCAATATGAAAAGATATTGTTTATTTCATGCATCTATATTTTATACTACATTATATATGATTATGATTAAATATAATCTAATATATAATTTAACATAATTGTATATAATAAATATATGATATATAATACATATGTAATACATAATGTAGTATAATATACTAATATGTATATTCTGTTTACTAATATAAAAGTTTTAAGTTAGAAGAATATAACATTTTAATGAAATTAACATTTTAGAGAAGTGTTATGGATATACTCAGAGAAGATACTACATAGGAGTGTATCTCCTCTATACTCGTGCTGTTGTATTGTTCTCTTTGTTATATTGCTGTTATTTGTTTGAAAAAAGCCGTATACAGATGGATATGCAGGAATGAAAATACTACTAATATAACTCCTTTCCTACAATGGTAAATTTAAATGCATTTTTAAAGTTTTTCTAATAGAAGTCATCATATTCACTTTTCACAGTAATGGTACAGTAAAGGAAATCACTCTTGCCTTCCCTTTAGCAATGTCTTTACATAGTCTTTTCATGTATTGATGTATCAAATTATTTATTTTGCCCTGAAAAGAATAAGAGTCTTCTGGGTGGTAATGTTCTTCCCAAAATTCTCTCTTCTAAGAATGGATTGGCAAATAATAAGGACTCATAGTTAGTAAAACCTATTTTGAGAAATTACACATAAATAAATAAAGATGTCACAGGAGTGTTGTGAGTTAGTTGAAGCTGGCAACTCCGTACTAGGTCCTGTGCTGACACTAGAATATAATCATTATCAAAACGGATACTGTCTTTACCTTTCCCCTGTCCTCACAAAGCTTAGTGCCACATGAACAAGATGTAAATATAACAAAATTTAAATAAGTATCTTTGTAAAAATAGAAGTAAATATTCTTCCCTAAAAGATATTTCCTATATTTAGTATGAGCAGATTTAGTCATTTAGTAGCCTAAAATAGTCTCATCTATTAAACATATTCTAGATCCTGCCCTGGAATAATTTTAGATATAATAATACATAATAAAAACAGGGTTTTTAGATAGTAAAAACAGGATTTCTTAACATTTTGCATTGGGTAATACTTTATTGTGCGGAGCTGTCCCATGCGTTTGGGTATTTAGCAGCATCTCTGGCTTACAACTAGTGAATGTCAGTAACACACCCCTCATTTGTGAACCCAAAATATCTTCAGATATTACCAAATCTGTCTTTGGGTACAAAATTGTCCCCATTGAGAACCACTCATTATGCTGCCCAGGCTAGACACAAACTCCTGGACTCAAGAGACCCAACTGCCTTAGCATCCCAAGGAGCTTTGACTACAGGCATGTGCCGCTGCACCTGGCTTGATCAAGAAAATTTTTATAGATGGATTCATAGTGTATTATGGCTCTTATTTTTGCATCTCTCAGTGAGTTCTTTTAGTTGATAGAGGAATCTGAAAGCTATCAGGAAGTCAGCATTTAGCTCACGCTTGTCCAACTCACAGCCTGCTGGCCACATGCAGCCCAGGATGGCTTTGAATGCGGCCCCACACCAATTCGTAAACTTTAAAACATTATGAAAATTTTTTGCATTTTTTTTAGCTCATCAGCTAGTTAGTATTAGTGTATTTTATGCGTGACCCAAGACAATTCTTCTTCTTCTAATGTGGTTCAGGGAAGCCAGAAGATTGGACACCCCGATCTAGATCCTTTGCTGAAAATAGAGACTCAGGGTACATCAGTTCCAACCTCCTTGTGGGGCAGGAAATAGACATAGTGGTCTTGATAATGGAAACATGAAGAATTCATCCCCAGATGGTCACCTTAATATGGAATATGTCACGATAGGGTAAATAATTTGGAAGAGAATAGTAGCTCTAACTTGAGAATAGTAACATATTTAATAAAAAATTACCCTATTGTTTCAAATTATTTCTTCTTCAAGCATAGTATGAAAATTACTTTCAAGTGGTAAAATTAAGAGCAACAATAAAGTAAATTACCCATATTTTCTCTGAGCTTTCAAGAAAAATGTTTCTTTAACCCCAGATTCAAACATGTAAGAACAAGTCTATAAGAATTTGACAAGAACAGATCTTGATAAGCCACATGGCCAATTTTGGCTCTTCGTCTGATAAGGGTACCAGAATTTCTTTGGGACTTTCAGAAGTTAGAAAATTGTATTTTGTAATTTGTATTTGTATTTTCTAATTTGTATTTTTCCTTTTGTTATGCAGACTTTGGCTTAAAAGTTGAATCAAGTTGAACTTACATGTTGCTTAGAAGTATGTATTATCTTACATTAATATTCATTTCAATGCATTAATTGAGCATAAGCACAATGCTTTATGCTTAATATCTATATAGTCAAAACTATAAAATGGTTCAAATCCTCAAGATGAGAAAAAATTCCCTGCTGTATCTTCTTTTCCTTCCCATGTTATTTATGTAAGAATGGGCTGATAGCAGGTGGCACAATCTGATTATTACCATTTGGTGGCAAGGGTAAGAAATGGGGAATTGTAAGGGTTATTAAGCACCATAAGGGAATTTTCACATGGCACATGGGCAATTAGCATGTAGCATCATTAACTTTAACAGGAGCTGTGTGGCTAATCTGGAAATTTTCACAATGGATCAGCGCAAAGTTATGTAGTACAGGTGTTTAATTGTTGATGGAATTAAAATCACAGCTGAATTAATTAAAAGATCAAAGAATAAAAGTGTATCACTTGCTTACAAAGGTAAGGAGGTCTGAAAAACAAAAATGTAGGTTACTTGGTACAGAAGAACATTTTATTAAAAGACTTGGAGTAATCTATGAAACAAGTCTTAGCTATATCTACTGTATTCATTTTGGCTGTAGATATAGCTCTTCAGTTCTTTTCAATAAAGCAGGAATTTTTAAAGCTCCGTTGTTACTTTGGAATGTGTAATACAATATCTCTCTATATATTCATTTGTATTTTTGTAAATTATATGGAGCAATAACAAAGTGTTTCCAAATCTCATTTTCAGGTAGCTTAACACTAATCCTTCTTGATTAAAACCTTCTTGATAATGTATACCTGGAACTGAAGATGTCTCAGAGTCAGAAACACAACTTTCTGTAATAAATATTTAGGCAACCTTTCCTAATTATTCTTATTCATAAATTATTGCCACTAAAAAAAAACTAAGTAAATATCTATGTATCACCAAGTCACCTAATATCACGTCTGGCTTCTTCAGATACACACTTTTAGTCAATTGCCATTTTGCAATTTACTGTTGAGATGCCCCATAGTGAATATTGTTTCTGAATCCATTGTTTATATTATCATTTAATAAGAATAGCTGATTTTTGTGTTTAGCATTTTAGAGTTTATTTTCTTACTTTTATAGAAATGTATAGTTACAATTGATCTGTTAATAACAAAAACACATTTCACATATTCATCATTTTTAAAAAGAGCATTTGTAGATTATACAAACTTTGTTGAGAATGAGTGATTTCATTTAGTGTGACAAAGCTACTTTGGTCATTCAATCAGATGCTTGCACATTGAAAGTTTCTCTAAGTATGCATTGAGTAGAAATTAATCTCTAATAAAATATTAGTAGATTTTTAAAAACAACATATCCTCATATAAATTACATAATCTTAAACTCTGCATCTCTAGTTCCTATAAGGTGATAATATTATGTATAATAATAATAGTATTCAGGATAAAGGAAGATTAAGAGTGGATTGTGTTGCCCATTTAAAGCAAATTGATAAATACTATACTATCTTCTTCATTTTCTCATACTACTGCAAAATAATAACTACAACAGGATGAGGCATTGTTAGACATACACACTTCAGCGTCTTAAACCTAAAGATTCTGATTTAGCAAACTGGGGGTGTTGCACATGGTTCCTGAACCACAAATTAAGAAATGTTACCCTGGAAGTAAGATGCTATTTATATTTAAAGATACAGGAGATTACTAGCTTTGTATAGTAGTTATGTAGATAAGCAAAAGTGCAAAACTCTGTTCTGTTAAGGCAAATTAAAATAAATATTTTAAAAATATGTTTTATAAGCACCTACCGTTTTGGACAAAAATCTACACTGCCTTTATTTTACTGAGTCAGTTTTTCTATATGTCTTTGTTTCTAGCTCCAGTTCCAGTAAAACCAAATCAGCTCTGTACAGCTCCTTATGTATCTCAGATATATAATTTTTTAAAAAAATTATCTAAATATTAGGAAAGGAATACATTAATATCTGTACTTTCATATGCAGCAGGTTCTAATCATTTGTTTTCAAAAATCTAAATAAATAAAATATTTACTTCTATTCTTCTTATAATGTCTTTACATTATTCAAAGACGAGTTTCTATGCAAAGCAGTATGTCTATTAGATATTGCTAAAGAAACCATGCAAATTCAAACAAATGTTTCAGCACACTGTAATTATGACTTTTTATGGATTCATACACAGAAGCATACATTCAGAGTGAAGACAATTTGAATAATCATCTGGAAGTATTTTATGGAGACATTTTTCTTCATTATTATGTTACAGTAAAAATGATTCATTCCTGTGCTTTTGTCAGGCATCTTCACACCCCACAAGTGAATTTCTGGATTATAAAAAATACAAATTTTATGTGCTATCCTTTGGGTTTAATTTAGTAAGAATGTCAAGGATAATAAGTTTAATAAAATATACATGGTGTTCTCATAATAGGATATACATTTGAATTAACCAAATGCTTATGTCAAATTTTATTTGTTTTTACTTTTTAATAAACATCGTGCCCACCCTGAATATATGAATTCTGATGTTTTCTTGTTTCATAGACTATTGAAAAATATTAGTAATTTGAGCGCTTGTAATCCTTAATATTCAACATATGTTATATTTCTGGTTGCAATATGAAAAATGACTCTGAACCTACCTGAACACAGTATTCAAAAGTAATATTCAAAAGAGAATCAGTAAGGCTTAAGTGTTTGGCACTTGGTCACTTAACGATATTTATAAAAGGAAACAACCTAAAAATTTAGATGATTTTTTTAAAAATTTGAGGTAGTATTAATTGTCTTACATTTATTTCCACAGGGTGAGCAGTTTTAGACTCTGTTGATCCATATATTTAGTTCATATTGGGGGGTGTGTGTGTGTGCATATGCTATGCATTGCCATTTTGTTTTCTTATATTATTTTTAAAAAGTCAAATTCCTTGCAGTAAAAAATACTGAAGAGGAAATGGCAAGATTAGGTTTGTGCCCATTCACACCATAGTATTCATTAAAATCTAACTATATACATGTTAATGACGATTATATATATCTACAAACTGCATATGTGTACATTTGTCAACATTCTTGGATTGCCGTCTTATCAGTTTACCACAGAAATTTTCTTCTATAATATGCAGTTTACCAAAGCCTAAGAAAGAAAAGTTCATACATTGACATTTTTTAACCTATGCAATATTCTTTTTTTTTTTTTATTATACTTTAAGTTTTAGGGTACATGTGCACATTGTGCAGGTTAGTTACATATGTATACATGTGCCATGCTGGTGCGCTGCACCCACTAACTCGTCATCTAGCATTAGGTATATCTCCCAATGCTATCCCTCCCCCCTCCCCCCACCCCACCACAGTCCCCAGAGTGTGATATTCCCCTTCCTGTGTCCATGTGATCTCATTGTTCAATTCCCACCTATGAGTGAGAGTATGCAGTGTTTGGTTTTTTGTTCTTGCGATAGTTTACTGAGAATGATGACTTCCAATTTCATCCATGTCCCTACAAAGGACATGAACTCATCATTTTTTATGGCTGCAATATTCTTAATTTCCTTCTACTATGGTTTCAGATTTTCTGAATTAAATGTGATGCATTTCGACAAGTAAACAAATTAGGTGCATATTCATCCATTAATCTATTAATGACATTTAGAAAGGATTCCACAGACAGTCTTTAATAATTTACTCACTTAGACAGCGTTTTCTGCTCATAAGCTGGTTTGTTGAGTTTCGATTTCTCTCCCTTGTAAGACACTTAGGAGAAAGGAGCATTTGTGAACTACAGGATACCACCGGGAAATAAAGAACCCTTAACATTGTCCTCTACTTTTAAGTACACATTATTTTTTTCTACATCTACGTGAAAGGAGGACCAAGACACTTCTGTTTTCATTGCTCCTTCTCCCTGAGTCTCTTAAAGCACTTAAAATTCTCTTTTCCTTTTACAGAGGCCAGATTCAGGTATTCATTTGAGTATATAGTTGTTGGAAATAAATTCAAGTTTAAAAAAGCATCATTGACTATTTTTACAAAAAAATAATTATTATTGAGATATGATGTATGTATAATAGTATTCACCCCTTTAAAATGGATAATTCAATCATTTTATTATAATTACAAAGTGGTACAAACATCTTTATTACCTAATTGCAGAAGTCTTTCATTGCCCCAAAAAGCAGCTCCTTACTCACTAGCGTTCACTACCAATTTCCATGTCCCTCAGGCCCTGTAAACTACTAACCTGCTTCCATTCTCTATGCAGTTGCCTATTCTAAATCTTTTTTTCATAATTTGAATTATACAAGATGAGACATTTTGTGCCTGGATTTTAACACTTATAATAATGTTTTCACTGATCACCCATGTTCTTTGTATGTTGTATATATGTACGTATCCACGTTGTGTGCATCACTGTTCCATGTTGTAACCTGTATTAGTGCTTTATTCTTCTTTTGACTGAACTGTATTCTATCATATGGAAATATCAAATTTTGTTAATGAACACAGCTGATGGACATTTAGGTTATTTCCACATTTTGACTTTTTAAATAATTCTGCTGTGAACATCCCTATACAGGTTTGTGTGTGGACTCATGCTTTTAATTCTCTTTGATATCTCGCTAGGAGATTGCAGCTTATATGGTAACTAATGTTTAATTTTGGAAAAACTACTAGGCTGTTTTCCATAGCAGCGACACCATTTTTTATTCCCATCAGTAACATGTAAGGGTTGTGATTTATCCACATCCATGGCAATACTTGCTCTTGTTTGTCTTTCTGATTATAGCCATCCTAGTGGGTGTGAGGAAGTATCTCATTGTGGTTTTGATTTGCATTTCCCTAATAACCACTGATGTTGAGCAGTGTTTATTTTTATGTGCTTATTGGTCATTTGTGTATTTTCTCTTGAGAACTATCTATTAAAAACTTTTGCTTATTTTTCCATTACTGACTTTTTAATTGGATTATTTGTCATGTATGAGTGAATTAGAAAAGTTCTTTATGTATTCTGGGTAATAGATTCTTAACAGCTATATCACATAAATGTTTTCTCATATTCTGTGGATTGTATTTTCACTCTGTTGATAGTACCATATTGTGCTTCTTCAAAGAAGCCCCAAAATTGTCAATTTTGATGTTAAAATTTTGTTTCTTTTGTTGCTTGTGGTTAAGACACTATATCTAAGAAACCATTGCCTTGTCCAAGGTCATGAAAACATACACTGTTTTCATGTGGGGATTCCTCAAGGACCTAGAACCAGAAATACCATTTGACCCAGCAATCCAACTACTTTGGAGATTACTGGGTATATACCCAGTTTGGTATATACCCAGTAATCTATTTATAATAGGTATAACTATTATAAATCATTATACTATAAAGACATATGCACACATATGTTTATTGCAGTACTATTTACAATAGCAAAGACTTGGAACCAACCCAAATGCCCATCAGAGATAAAATGGATAAAGAAAATGTGGCACACATACTGGAATACTATGCAGCCATAAAAAAGAATGAGTTCATGTCTTTTGCAGGGACATGGTTGAAGCTGGAAATCATCATTCTCAGCAAACTAACAAAGGAACAGAAAACAAAACACCTCATGTTCTCATTCATATGTGGGAGTTGAACAATGAGAACACATATAGGGAGGGGAACATCACACACCAGGGCCTATCGGGGGATAGGAGGCAAGAGGAGGGAGAGCATTAGGACAAATACCTAATGCATGTGGGGCTTAAAACCTAGATGATGGGTTGATGGGTGCAGCAAACCACCATGGCACATGTACACCTTTGTAACAAACCTGCACGTTCTGCACATGTATCCCAGAACTTACAGTAAAATAAAATAAAAATTTTAAGAAAGAAAATACACTGTTTTCTTTTAAGAGTTTTACTGTTTGAGTGTTCACATTTAGGAACTTGATGTAATTTTAGATAATTTTTGTACATGCCATAAGATAAGGGTTCCAATTCTTTTCCATGTGGATAAATAGTTGTCTCAGCGCCATTTTTGGAAAGACTGTTCTTTGTCCCCGTTGTATTATCTTGGCAGTGTTTTTGTATAATTGCCCATAAATATGAGAGATCCCGAGTCCCAATTATTTTATATATATATCAATATTCATTTTTTCATACATACAGTGCAGTTAAGTTATATATAACATATAAGTTATGTGTTATATATACATTACATATGTCACATAAGCTATATAACTTCTATATATCATAAAAATTATATTGATAACTTACAAGTTACATTGATATATGATATATATAACATATCATATAAGTTATATTTCATATAACTTATGCTAGTAGCACACATCTTAATTACTGTAACTTCCTAGGAAGCTTTATGTTTTATATATTATACCTTCAGTTTTATATATTTGAAGTGTACAACATGATGTTTTGAGATACATATAGTGAAATGATTACTAAAGTCAAGTAAATTAACATATTCATCATTGTACACAGTTACCTATTTTGTATGTACATGGCAGGAGTGCCCAAAATCTACTCTTTTAGCAAAAGTCCTGAATACAGTATAATACTATTAAGTAGAGACCTCACTATGTACAATGTTTCTAAACTTGCTCATTCTACATATCTGCTATTTTGTATCCTTTGACCTTTATCTCCCCATTTTTTCCTCATCCCCACCTCCTTAACCACTTTTTATTCTCTGTTTCTGTGTTTTTGATTTTTTTTTTTTTTTAGCAAGCATTAAAATCAGAATCCGTGAGTCCTACAGCTTTTTCTTCCTCAAGGTTCTTTTGGCTCTTCTGTGTCTCTAACATTTCTATATGAATTTTAGAATCAATTTATTGATTTCCACAAAAATGCTTTATGTGCTTTTGAAGGGGATTAATTAAATATGCAGATCAATGTGGGGAGTAATTACCACCTCAATAATATTAAGTGTTCTGATCCAGAAATGAAGGATATCATTCAATTTATTTTACTTTTTATAATTACATTTATTTTATTTATCAAAATGTTATTTTGTAGTATTGTGTATACAAGTTTTGCATTGATTTAAATTTATTGATATATAATTTTTCTTTATAAGCTATTATAAATGAAATTGTTTTCTTAATTTCATTTTTGTATTGTTCATTGCGAGTTTATAGAAATAAACAGTGATCATTATTGCTTTGTGTAGTTGTCTTGAAGATATGGGATACAAACAATTACAAACAAAAATATATTTTTTTAATATTTATCTATCTAGTTACTTTTACTTGTAATCTTTATTGCTTCACATGAATTTGATTTACTCTCTAGTGTTTTTTCATGTCAACCGAAACGACTCTCTTTAGCATTTTTTCTTGTAGGGCAGGTCTGCTAGTAGTACATTATTTTACTTTTTGTTTATCTGAAAAACTCTTTATTTTTGAAGGATTAACTTCTATTCATATATTAGTAGAACTGTTGATTGTCAGACTTTTTTTTCTGCGCATTGTAAATAATGAGTTGTTTCTGTTTTGCTGTTTTCAAGATACCCTCTTTAGCTTTTGAAAGTTTTGTTATGATGTGTGAAGATTTAGATCTTTTTGAATTCATCCCACTTGCAGTTCACTGAGATTCTTGGATGTACAGATGAATGGTTTTCATGAAATTTGGGAATTTTTTAAATCATTATTTCATCAAATATTGTTTCTTACCCTACATCTCTTTTTCCTCTTCTTTCAGGGTTCTCATTATGTATAAATTGATATGCATAATAACGTTTCTTATGGTCCTTGGGATCTGTTTATTTTCCTTCATTCACTTTTCTGTTCATTATAATGGCTAATCTCAATTCATCCCTCTCAAGTTATCAGATGCATTCTTCTGCCAGCCCAAATCTTTAGTTGAGCTTCTCTGTGATTTTTTTCTATCAAATACTATATTTTCCAACTTCACAGTTTTTATTTCATTCTTTTTTATTTCTATCTTTTTATCATTATTCTCTCTTTGATGAAACATCATTTGTATACTTTCCTTTAGTTCTTTAAATGTGGCTTATTTCTTTGAAAATATTGAAAATAGGTGATTTTAAAGTTTTGACTAATGATCAAAAATTGTGAATCTTTAAGGGCCATTTCTTGTTGTCTTTCTTTTTTGTATGGGACTTTTTTTTGTATTCCTTTCATGTCATGATTTTTAAATTGAAGACTTGACATTTCATATAATATATAGTGTTCCAACTCTGAAATACAGATTATCTCCCATCCTTAGGTTTTGTTGTTGTTTCTTTTTATAGTTATTTGTTGTCATTGTTAATATTTATTTTGTGACAAGTCATTTTTAAAATCTGTATTCATTCTCATGTGGGTCTGCTAAAAATCTCTATTCAGTTAGCTTAGTGGTTGATTAATGAGTGGTCAGTTAAAGAGATTTTCTTAAATACCTGCAACCAGCGTTTCTCATTCTCTGCAAAGGAGGTAGGTATGTATTGGGGCATACCTTCAATGTTCAGTGAAGCTGTTATTCTCTCTGTTCTTATCTACAACTAAACATTTTTCTTGAAAAAAAATTCCAAGGTTTTTGAAATCCTTTAGTTAATTTCAAGGGCCAGCCCAAAACTTTGCCTTAACTTTCAATTTCTATTTGTACAGGGCCTCAAGTTCAGCCAGAAATGAGAACTTAGGTGTTTTCTTAATGTGCACACAGCCCTCATCATATACTTAAGCCTACATATGTGCACCACCTTCAAAATTAACAGAAATATGCCAGAGGTTTTCAAAGCCCCTCCAAAATTTTATTTCTTGGCTATTTATTTTAACTTTTTGAATTAGTTTACATTTTGCCATATTTTAAATAACAACCTTAATTTAACATTTAAATGATAATGCTAAACAACTGTCATTGATTTCCATTGACAAATGACTCAAGGAAAATGTTAGCACAGGGTGAGCTGCAAGTTATGTAAGCAAAGACAAACCTTGTGAGTGTATTTTTCTCTAGGAAAATGCTACATAAGTAAAATAATGATACTTATCTGAAAATTAAGCTTTGAAACTTCTCAAACCCCATTTTGATCCTTGCAGTGACTGTTTACCTGCTGAGTCACTGTGATTGAAGGCTGTTGGTTTTAAGAGTGCCAAATAACTTGGATGAGAGGGATTGGACTAGGTTAAGTTAAAATGCTACATTAAGTGTTTATTGCTATTCTTAAGGTCCTTCAGAGATTTACATTGATTAAATTCTCCTCAGATGTGAAAAGCTTTGGCTAATTTCCAAGGATCCAAAAAGTTGATTTTGATAATTTCACTGACGTTCTTATCATTTTTATGCAGAAGAGGACTTTTGGAGGTCCTTATTCTGTCATTCCTGATAATGTCACTTTTCACTTTACATAAGAGTTTCTTTTTTTCTGCGTCATTACCAGCATTTGTTATTTTTGTATTTTTTATAGTAGCCATTATAAAAAATAAAATAACATCTCATGGTTTTGCTTTGCATTTCCCTGCTGATAAGTGATGTTTAGCCTTTTTTAAAAAAATAAAAACTTGCTATATCTTCTTTTGAGAACTATTTAGATCATTTGTGCATTTTGAATTGCATTATTTGTTTTTATATTGTTGAGTTGTTTGAGTACCTTGTATATTCTGGGTATCAATCCCTTGTCAGATGAATAGTTTGCAAATATTTTCTCTCATTCTCTATGTTACCTTTCATTTGGTTGACTGTTTCCTTTGCTGTGAAGAAGCTTTTCAACTTGATGTAATCCCCTTTGTCTTTTTTGCTTTTGTTTTCTGCTTTCGAGGTCTTATTCATAAAATTTTTACCCAGACAAATATCCTGAAGCATTTCCCCTATATTTTCTTCTAGTGGCTTCATACATTTGAGTCTTATATTTAAGTTTTAATCCATTTTTAATTGCTCTTACATGAGAGTTAGAAGTCTGAGAGTTAGAGGTCTAGTTACATTCTTCTGTATATGGATATCTAGTTGTTCCATCATCATTTATTGAAGACACTGTTCTTTCTTCAACATACATTGTTGACAACTTTATCAAAAATTAGTTGGTTGTAGATGCATGGCTTTATTTTTGGGTTCTGTATTCTGTTCCATTGTTACCTGTGTCTGTTTTTATGCCAGTACCATACTGTTTTGATTCCTATAGTTTTGTATGACATTTTGAAGTCAGGCAGTGTGATGACTCCAGCTTTATTTTTTTTGTTCATGATTGCTTCTGCTATTTGAGGACTTTTGTGGTATCATACAAATTTTAGGATTTTTTTATATTTCTGTTAACAATGTCATTGGCATTTTGATTGGTGTTGCACTGAATCTGCCTATTGCTTTGGATAGTATTATCAGCAATATTAATTCTTCCAGTCTATGACCATATGACATTTTTCCATTTTTTTCTGTCCTGTTCAGTTTTGTTCATCAGTGATTTTCAGATTTACTTGTAGAAATCTTTCACCTCCTTGGATAAATTCATTCCTAGGTGGTTTTTTATATTAGCTATGATAAATGGAATCCCTTTCTTGATTTTTTAAGCTAGTTTGTTATTTGTATATAGAAATGCTACCTATTTTGTTTGTTGATTTTATGTTAGTGAATTTGTTTATCAGCTCTAAGAGTTTTTGGTGGAATCTTTAGATTTTTCTCTACATGAGGTCATATTATCTGCAGACAGGGTCAATTTGACTTCCTTCTTTCCCATTTGGATGCCCTTCATTTCATTCCCTTGCTTAATTGCTCTGGCCAGGACTTCTAGTAGCATGTTAAATAAGAGCAGTAAATATGGGCAAGGGCAAACTTTTCTTATTCCAGTTCTTACAGGAAAAGCTTTCAACTTTTTCTCATTCAGTAGATGTTAACTGGGGTTTTTCATTTATGGCCTTTATTGTGTTGAGCTACATTCCTTCCAAGCTTAATTGTTGAGAGTTTTTATAATAAAGGAATATTGAATTTTATCAACTGTTTTTCCTACATCTGTTGAGCAATCATATGGTTTTTGTCCTTCATTTTGTTGATGTGATATATCATGTTCATTTATTTTCATGTGTACAATCCATCTTTGCATCCCTGGGATAAATCCCTCTTCATCATAGGTATAATTTTTTTGATGTACTGTTGGAATTGATTTGCAATATTTTTTGAGGACTTTTGCATCTTTGTTCATCTGGGACGTTAGCCTGCACTTTCCTTACATTGTTATGTTCTTACCTGGTTTTGGTCTCAGGGGTATTGGTTGTTGTTTGAAGTCTGGTGAAATTTAGCAGTGAAGCCATTCAGTTCTGGGCTTGTGTCTTATTGAGAGGCTGTTTATTACTGATTTAATCTCATTACTTGCTATTGATCTGTTCAGGTTTTCTATTTATTTCTGGTTCAATGTTGGTAAGTTTTATGTGTTCAGGAATTTATCTATTTTCTCTATGTTTTCTAATTTGTTAGTGCATAGTTATTCATAATAGACTCTAACAGTCCTTTGTATTTCTGTGGTTTCAGTTGGAATGTCTTTTTTGTTTCTGATTTTATTTATGAGTCATTTCTCTTTTTTCTTAGTCTGTCGTTACATAGGGTTATCACTTCCATAGAGAAATAGTAGCATATAATAATGAATCTACCAATAGTTATTTACTGGCCAATAGTTGAACTATTTAGTAACTGTAAAACAACCTAGAAGAAAGGACAATGTGAGAAAATTTTATTTTGTAATTGGACAACTGCATAAGATATTTTATGAGGTGGGTGTTTTGGCTTTACTGTATAACACTTTACTAAATATCTCGTATTTCTCTGCAGCTAACTCTTTCTAGGTATGACTAATATAAAAGTGGTCAATTGACTTTTTAAAGTGATAAAATAAATTGCATGTCATACAGAAATATATTCAACGATATGCCTGAATGACCATCTTACTCAATTTAAAAATGAATAATTTTTGCCATATTTATTCCTGGATGTAAACATGAGAAAGATATTTTGTAATTACATTTGGGTAAAATGTATGGTTTTACTTCCACTCATACATGCAGTGAAATTCCAGGTTATAAAAAGTATATTCTTCTAAACTACTCTGTGCTATATAACACTAGTAGGGCCTAAAGTTGTTCTACAAGTTCCTAGTTTACCCCTAGAAACTCACCTATGCACTGAGAAAAACAAACAAATACATTCATACTCATCTACATTTAATTAGCCAATTATATGTTAGAAAAATAAGAATAAATAAGTACAAGATTAAATATTTTTAAAACAAATATTGTTAAATATGCAAATTAATGAATAAATAAACTAGCATAATTCCGAACCAAATAAATTTGTCTTGCTGCATACCTTGAAGGTCAAAGTGAAAAGTGACATCATTAGGAATGACAGAATAAGGACTTCCAAAATCCTCTTCTCTGTTAAAGCAATAAGAATACCAGCAAACTTATCAAATTCAACTTTTTGGAACCCTGGAAATTAGCCAAAGCTTTTCATATCTGAGGAGAATTTAATCAATGTAAATCTCTGAAGGACCTTAAGAATAGCAATAAACACTTACGTAGCATTTTAACTTGACCTAGTCCAATCCCACTCATCCAAGATATTTGGCACTCTTAAAACCAAAAGCCTTCAATCACAATGACCCAACAGGTAAAAGGTCACTGCAGGGGTCAAAATGGGGTTTGAGAAATTTGAAAGCTTAATTTTCAAATAATTGTCATTATTTTACCTATGTGTCATTTTCCTAGAAAAACAAATCCGCTCACCAAGTTTGTCTTATTTAAGTGTGAATGTGAATTAGGATGGATATTATGAAAAACAGTATAGAAGTTCCTCAAAAAACTACAAATAAAACTACTATATGATCCAACAACCCCACTACTGGGTATATATCCAAAAGAAAGAAAATCAGTATATCAAAGAGATATCTGCACCATCATGGTTATTACAACACTATTCACAATAGCCCAGATACACGATCAACCTAAAGGTCTATCAACACATGAATAAAAAAAATGGTGTATATATGCAACAGACTACCATGTAGCCATAAAAAAGAATAAAATCCTGTCATTTGCAGCAACATGGATGAACCTGGAAGACATTAAGTTATGTGAAATAAGTCAGGCACAGAAAGAAAAATACTGCATATTCTCACTCATGTGTGGAAGCTAAAAAAGTTGATCCATAGAAGTAGAAAGTAGAATAGTGGTTATTAGAGGCTGTGGATGGCAGGAAAGCAGTTAGAGAGTAGTTGGTTAAAAGATAAAAAATTATAGCTAGACTTGGAAGAGTAAGTTATAGTGTTCTATAGCATTGTAGGATAACTATAGTTAATAATTTATTGTACACTTTTGAATAGTTAGAAAAGATTTGGAATGTTCTTAACACAAAGACATGATAAATACTTGAGGTGATGGATATCCCAATTACTCTGATTTGATCATTACATTGTATACATGAATTGTAATATCACATTACACTCTATAAATATGTACAATTATTATGCTAATTTAAAATACTAATACAAATGTACTAATGTCCCAGTTTGTCACAATGGTAATTAGAATTTAAGATACAAACCATTAAAGGAGAATGTTACTTTAAATGGACTGTCTCTCAAAGATAATTTTTCTAGGTACCAGCCCAGTACAGCACAATCAGTACATATTAATGAAATGCTCCAAATTATCTGTTCTGTTTTTATTTTCTCACTCCATTCTCAGCTCACCCATCCCTCGGAGTATATTACCTATATTGTCACTAGTACTTATCTTTCTTTGCTGTAGTAAAATCACAAATAATAGGAAAACTTGAATAGTTTGTAATAAATATTTTTCCTGTTTTTTCCGTAAAGCCTGACTATCTCTACACTGCCCCAGCAGGCTTCTCAAATGGGATTCTTCACCATAAATGAGATTTAGTCAATTTGGTGTTGGAATTTTCTCCCATTTCTGGTAAAACTTCTGCCTGAGCTGGAGAGCGCCAATCTCTTCTATGAGAAGAACTGAGTAGATGAGAATTTCAGATGTAAAATACTTTGAAAAAGGATAAGAAAATTGCATTTAAGAGTTGTTAGCAAAATTAGAGGACTCTGCATGCTAGCCATACCTAAAAGAGAGGTTCTAAATTTATGACCTTGATAGGGGAAGGGTTGATGTGAAGAAAAATCAGAAAAAAAGAATGAAATAAAGAACAATAGGAGTTTCCATCCACAACATGTACTGTTCCTGGCCTTTTAACATGCAATTAATTTTTTAATCTGAAAGTATTTTAGTTAGTGATATGCTAGGCTTCAAACTACTGATATTCAGATTATGTTGCAGAAATAGTCAATTTTATTTAAGAAAAGCTGGAAAGAGAGTTCCTGGGGGACTTTGACTTGCCTTTTATCATAAATAGCTATAATACTGGGAAAAAAAATTTAGGCCTTTGACACCAGTAACATGAACCCTGAAATAAGGGAGGAAGGCAAGATGAGTCCCTTTATTTCTTAAGCTTAATACCAGAAAAGTGAGCAATGAAATAGCATTGTTAGGTGAATAGAATTTCAAGGTGCAAAACAATGTATATTTACATATACATTTACATAAAGAAAATGTGTTTGTACAATATATACTGTATATACTCTCAGAATACATATCAAACATTTTTTCATCTCTAGGGATGGAGTGAGAATGAGTTAGTTGTAAAGTTATTGTCTTAAATTTGTCAATACACATGGCAACTGCTTACATTATTTGTAATGGTGTGTTTGTATATTATCTTTGTAAATTTTTAAAGAAAAAATGTTATAAAAACAAAATAAAGCCTTGATAATGAGTTTGAGGGCCGGGAAACAATAGCCTTTGCTCATTAACATATTAAAGCTGTAAAATGGATATTTTTCCCCATGAGCTTCAATTAAGCTTTTGTATTTCGAATGGAAAAAGATGTGTGGAAAAATGTATTCATTTTTTTCTGAATTCTTTTTTTTTTTTTTTTTTTTGATACTGAGTCTCCTCTGTCACCCAGGCTGGAGTGCAGTGGCGCGATCTCGGCTCACTGCAAGCTCCGCCTCCCGGGTTCAAGCCATTCTCCTGCCTCAGCCTCCCGAGTAGCTGGGACTACAGGCGCCTGCAACCACGCCCTGCTAATTTTTTGTAGTTTTAGTAGAGACGGGGTTTCACCGTGTTAGCCAGGATGGTCTCGGCCTCCTGACCTCGTGATCTGCCCGCCTCGGCCTCCCAAAGTGCTGGGATTACAGGCGTGAGCCACCGCGCCTGGCGTCTGAATTCTTTCTCTATAGAAAACACAAAGCAAAATTAGATTAAAAATACACATGCATAAAGCGCAGCTCCGCCGTTGTTTCAGTAAATGGTGTGACGTGGCTAGGCAGGGCTTTTTAGGTCTGGACCCAAGTTAACTTGAATGCCACGTAGGCTACAGTTCATTTTTACCAGATTATTTCTTATCTCCTGTAATATATTGCACATATTCACCCATTTAGTTTTACTTATTATTTCTCTAATTTTGGAATTTCCTTCACCATTTCTGCCTACTGAAATGCTAATCAGGTATTGAGCCCCATCTCAGGTGTTACTTTCATGATTAGTTTTTGACTTGCTGACCCTCTGGCAATTGCTGTCTTCCTTGCCTATTCACACACTGTTTTCCATTACAGATAATTGTGCATATTTTAGTCTCCACCGCTAGACCCCATCTTCTTTAGGGCAGAGGTTATGTCTTAATTAATATTAAATCTCTGTCTGTGTAAGATCTTATACACAACATGTTGGATTGACCTGCACGTAACTGTGAGATGTTCTCATTTCACCCTGTCCCACAGCACTGATCTTTAAAGAAGGTTGGTAATAATCAGGGGTGATTTTCCGAAATTTTGTAATGTCATATCATCACAGATAAAAGCTATGAATAGCTTTTATAAAATATCTCAGTATTTTAAAATAATATGCGAATTGGTACCATTTGCAATGTAGTATTGTAAATGATTATTTAACTCTAAAAATATTTTCAGATAACATTCTTTCTAGAGCTTTTACTCAACTACATACTAAACTTAAAATTCTATTTTACTCAACCTGCTATGTATCATTTCTCAGCTTTCTTTATTTTCTGACACTGATTTTCATGTTTATATAACTATTTTAAATTATGCCATAGGAAAAAATCCTTATGCTTTTTTTTTATTAAAAAAAACGAGGCCTCACAAAATTCAGATTAAATGTTTTAACTTCCAGTTTAAAGCAGGAACAACAGTTTCCTAGATTTCCAAGAAGAAAGATAATGGTCCTGTTAAGAATGGAAAGTGACTTCTTCCTTTATCGGATAGGGAAGGAAGAAAGAAAGATGTTTTCCTGGAGAATATAGACTGTAGCTCAAAGTGGTAATATCTTTTGTGCATGCAGAAGATAAGACCTAGAACAATGGTGTCAACTCAATAAGAGGAAAGGAGTGGTCCAAGACATGGGGAAAGAAATGGAAAGAATTTCAGATTTTACAGGCAGGGTACATACCTTCTGACAAATTAAGGATGATATTAATATGTTCTACCCTAAATTGATTCATTATGAAAAGAATTGAGAATTGATCATGTACCAGCCTTGCTAAAGACAGATATGTAATCCTGAGCTAAATCTAGAATTAACAAGAGTATAGACTCTTCTGAATCTTTTTGGTGGTGGCAGACTATTTCGAGCAGGTAATATGCTGGAGGTCAAAGGAGGAGACATGAAACAATATTAGATGTTGGGTTTATTCATTTTCCATAAGGATTTTAAATGTTTCCAACTTGCGGAATGATCTTTAGAAATTCGTGTACAATCACCATACAATGACATGATAATCTCTGTTGTCTTGAATTTAGTAAAGGAGGAACTTGAACAAATTATTTAGTGGCCTGCTCTCCCTTCAGTAATCATGGTTTGTTAATGTCAAAAGTGGACAGTTATGTCATTTTACCAGCACGCTGTTAGTAAACTAGTCTTAGAACAAAACAGAGAAGAACACTGTCAAAGTAATCCAAAGTTATAAAAAAACGTGAGCCAGAGACACTGCACAGAACCAAACTCGACGTCTACTGCAACCTGGGACTTCTGATTATGACTTATTTAACCCAGTTTGAAGGTGGGTCTCTTTATAGATAAAGGGCCTAACTTAAACAAATTTGCAAACTCAGCTTCCATCCTAAATAGACAAGTTACTTTTTCATAGTAACTCCCTGAAACCTATATATATACCATACACTGGACCGTCAGGTTTTTTTCTCAGGTGTCTTGAAGTTGGATTTAGTAATCATGAACAAATTTGCGGCTATAAAGCTTCTATGTTTTTGCTAAGTTTATGACAATACTGAAATTTAAATTGCACGTGTCATTAAGTTCACTGAAAGATGAAACAATTTATAAAATATTACATTAGATAATGTTGAAGAAGATATTTTGAAAGTCTATTCTTGCAAAAGATACACAAGTGCAGATGTTAAATATAAGGTTCAAAAGCCTCACCATTCTTTCCTTCTAAAACACCCAAGAAATGTTTCACTATACCGAAGATACCTCATTAGATATAGACTATGCCTATTTCCTTTTGCCAATTATTCATAAACAAGATTGAGAAACTCTAGATATGATGAAGGTACATAATATCTCATTGTAAAACTACACATAGAATAGGGACATGGTAGAAGGATGTGAACAGTTCAGCACAATTTTATCATCGCTGTTTTAAAAAACAGATCAAAACATGTCATGTGGCAATGTTGAGTTAGTAACATTATTTTTATATGAAATGGAGTATAGATCTATATAATTTATTACATGGAGAATGAAGATCTACATTTACAAGTTTGTCAAAAATTTACTTTGAATAAACCAATACATGGTATATTAGTTAAGGGAATATTTTTCTACAATAATCCTGCCTTGGTTAAACTCAAAGATCTACTACTGATTATCAAGTAATAAACTATACTTGTATCTTTTGACCCCTCTCAAAATCACACTTCAAACATATGTAGATTAAGGATAACAGCAAATTTATACAATAATGCTTTGAATGAATAGATTTATGCATATTTATCAATTCATATATATATATGTATACAGTCAAAAACAAAATTTTAACAGATTTAAAGATCTAGTTGGCTTTTTTTAGAGATTCACCAATCAGCCAGTATTTCATCTATGAAATTAAAATACACTCTGAGGAGCCTATAAAGGCAGAAGAGGGATGAAGAGGTAGAAAAAAGAGAATAAAAATAAATTGGTTGTTTCAAAGTCACTTTTCTTACAGAATTAAAAGAAAAAAGATTTTCTTCCTTTTAATTTTAAATTTTTATGAGTACATTATAGTTGTACATATTGATGGGGTATACATGTTATTTTGATATTAACATGCAATATGTAATATCAAATATGGGTAATTGGAATATATATTACTTAAGATTTATTATTTCTTCGTACTAATAACATTTTATTTTTTTCTAGCTATTATAAAATGTACAATAAATTATTGTTAACTATGGTCTCCCTATTATGCCATCAAACACTAGAACTTATTGCTTCTATCTAACTGTGTTTTGTACCCATTAATAAGCCCATATTTATTCCCCCCTCCCCACTACCGTTCCCACCATCTGGTAACCATCATTCTATTCATTGGTGTAGAGCTAAAAATGTTGATCACATGAGATCACATAAGAGACACCAACGAGACATCAGTTCTAACCAAATTGATCTCTACTTCCATGAGATCAATTTTTTTTAGCTCCCACGTATTAGTGAGAACATGCAACTTTCTTTTTATGCTATTTCAAATTGAATGGGTTCCTTCTGAATGGTTTTGGTGAATCTCCTGTTTTTTGGAAAACTATCCTTTTTTAAAGTTCAGTTTGATTACATGGTGCCTAGCATGACTGATTTATTTCTGGGGGGTCAGATCTGTTGGGGTCTAGTGCAGGAGCTCAGTCCAAAACAATGTCCTTTCATACATTTTATTTAACAACATATATATAGTAAATTTATATGCCTAAGTAATCGAGATTTGAAAATGCTCAATAAATATTAACTATGAAAAAAGAGAAAACAAATTAAGCAATGAGGTTATTTTACATTTACACTTTAACATGTTTAAAATTAAACAAATTAGGCTGAGCTCGGTGGCTCACGCCTGTAATCCCTGCACTTTGGGACGCTGAGGTGGGCAGGTCACTTGAGGTCAGGAGTTAGAGACCAGCCGGGCCAGCAGAGTGAAACCCCATCTCTAATAAAAATACAAAAATTAGCGGGGCATGGTGGTGTGCCCAGCTACTCAGGAGGCTGAGACAGGAGAATCGCTTGAACCTAGGAGGCAGAGGTTGCAGTGAGCCGAGATCATGCCACTGGACTCCGGCCTGGCCCACAGAGCGAGACTTCATTTCAAAAACAAAAACAAAAAAACACTAAAATAAATTAAACAATTTCTATAGTTGAGTCTATAGTTACACAATTTGTTTCATTTAACAGGCTCTGTGTTATTTCTGGTAGTGAGACAATAGAACACACATTTATTTGATAAGTCTTTATTTTACTAGCTGTTTGATACTTATCACATGGATAGCTTCATTTATAGGAGGTTTTTTCCTCAGGAATTTAAAAATATTACTCTAAAAATAAAATTTAAACTAATCTATAAACAACACCCAATTTTTGTATGTATTTATAACAACCATAATTTCACATGATATATTTGAAATTGTTCCTATATAAAATATGATTGAAAGGGGGAAGACTCTTCGGGGAAAATGCTAAAGATGAAACAAAATCAAATAGAAAGCAGATAATTCCACTAAGAAAAGAGAGATATTACCATTTTCTTCTGCATAAGGGAAGCTCAGAATAGGACAAATAATATCATCACTTCTGTTGTATAAAATGTTTAGCTGACTTGATGTGCTGGAACTTTCAAATACATATTTGTAAATAAATATTCCCATATTACTACTGGAAGTTGAAAGTTGAAGAGCTCAGAGAGTTCTATTTATAAACTAAACATGAGACTACGTTAGGTGACTACGATAATATTCAAGTGTAGTCTAGTGATATTTCTATCTTTTCATTTACCTTTTCTGGCAACCTCCAAGCTGGGTCCTGAGATCTTTCTTTTTCTCATTCTGCACTCTTCACTTGAGTAAACTTGTTCAGGGCCATAACTTCAAATATTATTGCTCCAATGACAAATTTATATTTAGCCCTTATCTTTAAACTAGAGACTTGGGGATTAAACAAATCACTTGACATCACCACCTTGATATTTCTTAGGCATTTTACACTTTACACTTATCTCTACCAAAGCAAAATTCTTGATCCCTAGCTGTCTTACTAAGCTAGGGATCAATTCCCTCTGGTCTTCTCCATCTCAGTAAATTACCAATCATATATCCCGCTGTTGGAGTGAAAATTATTTTCTTCATCTCCTGATTCGCATCTATCAGCAAACCTATTAGTTTAATTTCAAAATATAACTCATATCTCTCCCTACCTCACCATCCTTTGAGCAACTATCCATTCTATTCCTGGTCATTATAATCTCTCATAAATATTTACTTCTAAAAGAATCTGCATCTGACCACTTCTTACCCCTACCCGAGGCACTGCAATAGCCTTCTAGCTCTTTCCTGACTTCTACTCTTGTTTCCATATCCTCTATATTTTTTCAACAGTCTGAGTAACCAACCCCTTCCTACCTCTACTTTCATCCTCTGCATTCTGTGGTTGCTCACTATATTCATCATGGTTTCTTTTCTGTTTTCGAACAGTAGTTCTTTCCTATTTCAACTTCTTGGCAAATGGTGTTCCTTTGTTGATTCTTAATTGACATAACATTTCTCATTCTTTTCGTGTCAACATGAACCTTTCCTACTCTGAAATCCTTTGCCTTACAACCGTCTAGTAAGTGGCTCCCTGACTGCCCTTCCCCAGCTCACTGAGTTACGGTGTTACAGCACTGTACTGAATTTCTTTCATTTTCCTCTTCAGATCTGTTCTCCCTTTTCTTTAGCTTGCCTTCTGCCAGGGGAGGATGATACAAACCTTTGGTTCTGGTTTGCTTCCACCTGTAAGGAGCTGTGGGAAGAGGTTCGAGGTATGGAAACAAAGCCAGGAAA